>NC_000011.10:50364539-50516808 GCF_000001405.40 Homo sapiens | reverse complement strand
TAAGCAACATTCTGAGGAACAGCTTTGTGATGTGTGCATTCATCTCACAGAGTTAAACCTTTCTTTTGATTCATCTTTTTGAAACACTGTTTTAGCAGAGTCTCAAAATGGATATTTGGGAGCGCATTGATGACTATGGTGAAAAAGGAAATATCTTCACTTAGAAACTAGAAAGAAGTTTTCTGAGAAACTGCTTTGATATTTTTGCTTTCATCTCACAGAGTTAAAACTTTCTTTTGATTCAGCTTTTTGGAAACACTGTTTTTGTCCATTCTGTGAATGCACATTTGGGAGCTCATTGAGACCCATGGCAAAAATGCAAATACACCAGTATAAAAACTAGAAGGAAGCTACCTGAGAAACCAATTGGTGATCCGTGCATTTACCTGTCAGAATTAAAGCATTCTTTTCATTCAGAAGTTTGGAAACATTGTCATTGTGGAACATGTGAAGGGATATTTGGGAGTTCATTGAGGCCTGTGGTGAAAAAGGAAACAACTTCAGATAAAAACTAGAAAGAATCTTTCTAAGAAACTGCTTTGTGATGTGTGCATTCATCTCACAGAGTTAAACCTTTGTTTTGATTCGGCATTTTGAAAAGACTGTTTATATCGATTCTACAAATGGACATTTGCAGCTCATTGAGGCCAAAGGTGAAAAAGTGAATATCCCATGATAAAAACGAGAAGGATGCTACATGAGAAACTGCTTTGTGATGAGTGCATTCATCTCTCCAAGTGAAACCTTTTTTTCATTCAGCAGTTTGGAAACACTGTTTTTGTAGAATCTGCGAAGGGATATTTGGGAGTGCATTGAGTCCGTTGGTGAAAAAGGAATCATCTTCAGTTAAAAACTAGAAAGAAGCTTTCTGAGAAACTACTTTGTGATGCATGGATCCATCTCACAGAATTTTACCATTCTTTTTATTCAGCAATTTGGAAACACTGTTTTTGTCCATTCTGTGAATGGACACTTTGGACATCTTTGAGTCCAAAGGTGAAAAAGAGAAAATCCCATGATAAAAACCAGAAGGAAGCAATCTGAGAAACTACTTTTTGATGTTTGCATTTGTCTCACAGAGTTAAACATTTCTTTTTATTCAGCGGTTTGGAAACACTGTTTTTGCAGAATCTGTGAAGGGATATTTTGAGCACACTGAGGCCATTGGTGAAAAAAGATACGTCTTCAGAAAGAAGCTCTCTGAGAAACCTCTTTTGATGTGTGCATTCATCTCAAAGGATTAAAACATTCTTTGGATTCAACAGTTTGGAAACACTGATTTTGTCCATTTTCCAAATGGATATTCGGGAGCTCATTGAGGCCAAGGTGAAAAAGCGAATATTCCAGGATAAAAAGTTAGAAGGAAGCTATCTAAGAAATTGCTCTCTGATGTTTGCATTCTTGTTGAAGAGTTAATCCTTTCTTTTAATTCACCAGTTTAGAAACACTGCTTTTATCCATTCTGTGAATGGACATTTTTGAGCTGTTTTGGGCCAATGGATAAAAAGCATATATCCCAGGAGAAAAGCTAGAAGGAAGCTGTCTGAGAAACTGCTTTGTGATGTATGCATTCACCTCGCAGAGTTAAAACTTTCTTTTCATTAAGCAGTCTGGGAACACTGTTTTTGTAGAATGTGTGAAGCGATATGTGAGAGCGCAGTGAGGCATATGGTGAAAAAGGAAACATCTTAAGACAAAAACCGGAAAGAAGCTTTCTGAGAAACCACTTTGAGATGTGTGAATTCATCTCACAGAGTTGAAACTTTCTTTTGATTCAGCAGTTTGGAAACACTCTTTTTGTCCTTTCTGCGTATGGACATTTTTGAACTCTTTTGTGCCAATGGCAAAAAAGCCTACATCCATGGATAAAAAATATATTGAAACTATCTGAGAAACTGCTTTGTGATTGTTCATTCATCTTGCAGCTTTAAACCGTTCTTTTCATTCAGCAGTTTGGAAACAGTTTTTGTGGAATCTGCAAAGGGGTATTTGGGAGTGCATTGAGGTATATGGTGGAAAAGGAAGTATTTTCAGATAAAAACTAGAAAGAAACTTTCTGAGAAACCACCTTTTGATATGTGCATTAATCTCTCAGAGTTAAACCTATCTTTTGATTCAGCAGTTTGGAAACAGTTTTTGACCATTCTGCAAGTGGACATTTGTGAGCTCATTGAGGCCAAAGGCAAAAAATCAAATATCCCAGGATAAAAATTGGAAGGAATCTATCTGAGAAATGCCTTATTGATGTGTGCATTCATCTCACAGAGTTAAACTTTTCTTGTCATTCAACATTTTGGAAACATTTTTTTTGTGGAATCTGCGAAGTGATATTTGGGAGTTCATTGAGGCCTGTGGTGAAAAATGAAACATTCCCAAGATGAGCTCAGTCAAGAAGACCCTAAACCAGTGGTACTAGATGAATTAAACTCACACACAGAGAAATATAGAGGTGTGAATTGGGAATTCAGGGGTCTCACAGCCTTCAGAGCTGTGAGCCCCAAACAAATGTTTATCCACAAATTTATTAAGAGCAATCTGTTATTCGAATTGTTTCTACAGTTATTTGATTAATTAAAAGTATACCTTATTGGAAATGAAGGGATGGGCCAATTTAAAGTTGTGGATCTGGCTGGTCATCAGCAGAGGAGCATGCCCTTAAAGCACAGATTGCTCATGCTATTGTTTTTGGTTTAAGAACGACTTTAAGTGGTTTTTCACCCTGGGTGGGCCAGGTGTTCTTTGCCCTCATTTCAGTAAACCAGTAACCTTCCAGCATGGGCATTATGACCATCATTAACTTGTCACGGTAATGTAGAGATTTTGCTTATGGCCAGTTTTGGGGCCAGTTTATGGCTGGATTTTGGGGGGTTTGTTTCTAACATGTCCACCTTCTTTGATTTGCAAATCAATAAAAGCAAAGCTGCTTTGTCATGGCGAGCTACTTCTTGCAGGAGTCAGGATCTGCATACGCAGACTATAAAAAGACAAACAACATAGATTAAAAGCACAATCATCATTGAAATCACAGCCCTTCCAAGTCTTTTTATACATTGTAATAGGTTACTCACTGCCAATTTGTCTGCAGCTCCTTGAAGCACTCCAGTTCCTGTCATTAAGTTCAGGTTTGCCTGGGATGCCTTATATATTTTTTCTTTTAATTCTGCAATATCCAAAAACAGGTTTGTAAGTGTCCTTATAGATGCTTTTTTATTCTTTCCCAAATTTTGATCTTATTAAGAACTATTAGTAGTTTCCACAAATCCTTATGTTTAGCTCCTACAACTGTCCATATCATTTAAGTTGAGGTGCCACTATACTGCCATGATCCCAGATAATAGGAACTCTTGCCATACTTCTTAATATATCGACCATCTGACCATTTTGTTCAGACCAGCTGAACATAGTGTGGCCATGGCAGGCACACTCAGATGTGAAATTCAAACTAAACATCCCCTTAGGGGATCAAACAATAATGACTCCAAGTAATCATTGTGCAGCACCTCTGCCAGTTCTGAAATGCAATCTTCTGAAACAAGTATGTTCAGATTTTCTGGCCAGGTTCAATTTTGTTTACAAATATGTTATTGCAGGCAGTATGCCTCAATTATAGGAGCAGATTTATTACGAAAAATACTGAGATCAGAAAGCATGTGTAACTGCATCATAGAGTGATTGCATCCAGGCATTATTGCCAGCCAAGATTGATCAATATGCCCAATAAGTAAAATTGTTCTCTGTGTCAGCCCTTGTTGAAGGAATACTCACGGCAGTGGTGATAACTGCTATCATAGCTACCATTAAATTATACGTTGTGACTGGTTCTCCTGCTTTCCTCAAGTTTTCTTCCGCCATCTGTGACAGCTTCTTTATCTGTCCCTGGGTGGGTGGCTGTGTTCAATGGGTGTTGCTCGTGGCAGTTGGGGGTCCACCTCAGCATCAATCTCAACATGGCTGCAACTGGGATGCCCTCAGGATCCTCCCAGAGTCTCTTCCTTGGCATCTGGCTCACGATAAGTTTTCAGGGTCTTAATGGTATCCAAAACGGCTGTTCATTTTGGCCTGGAGAAACACAAGCATAACCTCTACCCCAAGTTATGATTTTACGTTTTTTCCCTACTTTTTGTAATCAGATCTCTCCACTAAATCAGTTGTTCTGCTTCTGTCTTTGCAGCTGGTTTCTGTAGATGCTGTTCAGCTGCTGATAACATCTGGCCTTTCAGCACGCTCAAAAAATTTAAAGTTAATAATGCTACATTCAGTTGTGTCTGCACTGTTCCATATTCTCTGTCTCCCCCTTTCTGCTTTTGCAACTGCTGTTTTAGGGAGTAATGTGTTTAATATTCCACATAGAGAAAAATATAGCTAGAGCTTGTATAGTATAGCCTGGGGCATTATCTGTTTTAATAGAATATGGAATGCCCATCACTGCAAAACACTGCAAAAAGTGTGGTTTAACACAGGCAGAAGACTCTCCTGATTTTTCATGTAGCCCAGACAAAGTGAGAAAAGGTTTCCACACATACATGTACTTAAGCTAATCTCCCAAACGAGGGAATATGTGTGACATCCATTTACCAAAGACAGTTAAGTTCCAATCCTCGAGGACTAACTCCTCCTGTAAAAGATGAGGAATGTACCATTTGACAAGTTGGGCATCACTGGATAATAACTTTAGATTATTTCCAGGTAATGCTGTATCTGCATTTGAGACCAGAGGCATTAACATGGGTTAAATTGTGAAAGTGTCTAGCATTACATATTGTATTAGCAACTAGGCAATCAGCCATTTGATTTCCTTCAGTCAAAGGTCCTGGAAGAGGTGTATGAGCCCTAATGTGAGTGAGGTAAAAAGGATGCTTTCTACTCCTAACTGCTGTTTGCAATTGGTTAAATAAAATCATCAGTAGTTCATTTGTAGGAAATCATAACTGAGCATTTTCAATTAACTGTGTGGAATGAACCACATATGAAGAATCAGAAATCACATTAATTGGCATATCAAAAGCAGTCAATAACTCAATTACAGCTACAAGCTCCGTTTTTTGAGCTGAAGTATAGGGCATCTGGAAAACCTTACTTTTCGAGCCAGAATAAGAAGCTTCACCATTACGAGACCCATCAGTGAAACAATGAAAATACTTACCAGGCTGCAGGTTGTTTACTGCAGGAATTCTAAAGCAAAATGTTCACAGTCTTGCTCAGGTCAAGGGATAGTAAAGAAACACTCTTTTAAATCTATGACTATTAAAGTCCAATTTTTTGGAATTATAGCAGGAGAAGGCAATTCTGGCTGTAATGCTTCCATGAGTTGTATAACTGAATTGATACTCTTAAGTCAGTTAACATTCTCCATTTACCTGATTTTTTCTTAATTACAAAACTGGAGAATTCCAAGGGGAAAATGTTGGAGTTGTGTGCCCATTTTCTAATTTTTCAGTAACTAATTTCTCTACAGTCTCCAGTTTCTCTTTACTTAACAGTCATTGTTCTGTCCAAATTGGCTTATCTGTTAACCATTTTAAAAGTACAGGTTCTGGAGGCTTAACAATGGCCATCAAAAATTATTTCTTAATCTTTGGCGGGAACTTTGTTTTTCCACTTGAGGCAGTTCTTTCAAACCTTGTAAATATTTTTCTATTCCCATACCAGGAACATACCCCATTTCATGCATCATATGTTGACTTTGAGGGCCATATAATTGTTCTGGAATGAGAACTTGTGTTCTCCATGGTTGTAGTAAATCTCTCCCCCATAAATTTATAGGTACAGAAGTTATAATTGGTTGAATAGTCCCAGGTTGTCCATCGGACCATTCACAATGCAAAATATAACTACTTTGATATAATTCAGGGGCTTTACCAACTCCCACTATGTTAAATTAAGTGGGTTGAACTGGCCACGCAGATGACTAGTGCTGTAGAGAAATGATTAAATATCTGCTCCTGTATCTACCAAGCCTTTAAATTTATTTCCCTGAATTGTTATTTCACAGGTAGGACGTTTATCAGTGATTTGATTTAACCAATAAGCTGCTTTGCCTTGCTTATCTGTGCTTTCAAATCCTCCTGTTCATTTAATTTAACTGTTTTCCATTCCCATATATGGCACAATCAGGAGCTGTGCTATGCTGTCTCCTGGCTCTACTTTCCAGGGAACAGAAATAGATATAACAATTTGAATTTCTTCATTATAATCTGAATCAATAACTCCTGGATGTATGTGTACCCCTTTTAAACTTAAACTAGACCTTTCTAAAACTAATCCTATTGTCCCCACTGGCAAGGGTCTGCAGACTCCTGTTGGGACCTTTTGCAGGGATTCCCCAGGCAGAAGGCTCACAGCTTTTGTGCAGCATAAATCTACTGCTGCATTGCCAGCTGTGGTTGGGGGCAGATATTGTACAGGGTTGAAAGGATGGCCTGAGCTGGAAATGCCCCAGTTTAGAACACGGCCCCAGATGGGCCCCTCATGGCATTTCCCAAAATCAGGTTCCCTTCTTTATCAAACTAAGGGTGACACTGATTAGCCCAATGTTTTCCTTTTTTACATTTTGGACATATTTCAGGCTCAGTAGTTTTCTTTTTTCCCCTATCTGGTAGCCTGACTTGCTGATTTTTCCACATTCTTTTTAAGTATGTCCATGCTTCCTCCAGTTAAAACAAGTTCCAGGAAATAGAGTATTTCCTTTATCCACTCTCAGTCCTGCCATTGCCTGTGCCAACAAAGTAGATTTATGCAGATTACCTCCAATACCATCTCAGGCCTTGATATATCAACTAAATATGCTTTCCCTCTGATAGGTCACTGAGCAGCCTGGCAATTCGGAGTAGTATTGTCAAAAGCTAATAACTACAACACTATATCCTGAGCAGCTGAAAATCCACGTATGGTTCTCTTGGTCCCTGTTTCATAGAACTAAATGAAGGGTATTTTTCTCCACATGCAGTGATTTTTTCCCAACCTCTAATGCACACTCCCTTAAGCTGTTCTATGGCATTATGTTGTATGACCACTTGTGCATCTAAACAAACCCAGCTGCCAACCCCCAAAAGTTCGTCTGCAATTATATTAATTTGAGGTTGGGCCTGGGCATTGTGAGCAGCCTGAATGGAGGCTTCATCTGCCCACCAAGTTTTAAATTGTAAAAACTAAGCAGGAGTTAGACTAGCTCGAGTAAGGGTGTCCCAGTGGCTGGGAATCATCTGACTGAAAACAGCAACATCCTTTAACAGTCCCATTACAAAAGGAGAATCTGGTCCATACTGATTTATAGCTTGTTTAAATTATTTTAGTCATTTAAAAGGAAAAGGATAAAATGTAGCTGAAATAATTCCCTGTTGTTCTGGGGGCTGTATTCTAACAGGGGTCTGCCAAGCCTCTAAATCACCCTCTTCTAGCTTACTGAATACCTGCCTGAATAGAACTAAGAGCTGTCACTCAATGTGCTGCTCAAACAGTTCCCGGGGCAACAAATTTTGTCCAGTGTCATCTAGAAAAGAAAGATCTGGAGGGTCTTTTTCTTCAAAATCTTAATGAAGGTGTGCAGAAGGGTAAGGATGAACCTCTCCCTCCTTTGCCACTTTAGCTTTAACAGGCAAATAAGCCTGCTCTGTGACCTCTTCTGTTACTCCCCTATACTCTCCGTCCTCCTCATCATTAGTGTGAAAAATCTCTAAGGTGAAACGAACCAGAGACCAAACTTGTCCCATTGTTAACATGATGTTTCCAAGCTCCCCTTCTTACTCACAAGGGGGATTGCTTTAAGAGTACTTGGAAGTCCTCCAGCTAGTTCCACATTCTCCAAACCTTGCTCTGGTGACCGTTGATCTGGATTAGAGCCCCCATGATAGATGCCATTTGCCAAGACCAGCTTGGTCAGGGAGACCCTAAGCTAGAAGTGCTAGAGGAATTAAAGAAAAAACACAGAAATATAGAGGAGTGAAGTGGAAAATCAGGGATTTCACAGCCTTCAGTGCTGAGAGCCATCAATGGAGATTTACCCACAAATTTATTAACAGTGATCCAGTCATTAGCATTGTTTCTTTGCCTATTCAATTAATAAAATTATCCCTTACATGAAACGAAGGGATGGGCTGAAATAAAGGGGTGGATCTGGCCAGTCATCTGAAGCAGGAACAGGCCCTTAAGGCACAATGCACTCATACTATTGTTTGTGCTTTAAGAACGCATTTAAGAGATTTTCTGCCCTGGGCGGATCAGGTGTTCCTTGTCCTCATTCTGATAAACACACGACTTTCCAGTGTGGTCATCATGGTCATCATGAACATGTCACAGTGTGGGAGAAATTTTATTTATGGCCAGTTTTGGGACCAGCTTATGGCCAGATATTGGGGGGCTTGCTCCCAACAAAACATCTTCAATGAAAAGTAGATATAAGCTCTCAGAGAAACTGAGTTGTGATGTGTGCACTCATCTCACAGAGTTAAACCTTTCTTTGGATTCAGCAGTTTGGGAACACTGTTTTTGTCCATTCAGCAAATGTACATATGGGAGCTCATTGAGGTCAATGGCAAAAAAGCAAATATCCCAGGTTAAAAACTAGAAGGAAGCTAGCTGAGAAACTGCTTTGTGATGTGTGCATTCACCTCACAGAGGTAAACCTTTCTTTTCATTCAACACTTTGGAAACACTGTCTTTGTAAAAACTGCAAAGGGATATTTGCGAGCACATTGAGGCCTATGGTGAAAAAGGAAATATCTTCAGATAATAACTAGAAAAAAGTTTTCAGAGAAACAGCTTTGTGATGTGTGCATTCATCTTACAGAGTTAAAACTTTCTTTGGATTCAGCAGTTTGGAAACACTGTTTTTGTTCATTCTGTGTATGGACATTTGGGAGCTCATTGATGCCAATGGCAAAAAGGTGAATATATCAGGATGAAAACTAGAAGGAAGCTCTCTGGGAAACATCTTTGTTATGTGTGCATTGACTTTACAGAGCTCAAAGTTTCTTTTCATCCAGGAGTTTGGAAACACTGTTTTTTAGAATCACCATAGGGATATTTGGGAGTGCATTGAGGCCTATGGTGAAAAAGGAAACATCTTCAGATAAAAACTAGAAAGAAGTTATCTGAGAAACTGTTTGTTATGTGTGCATTCATCTCACTGAGTTAAACCTTTCTTTGGATTCAGAAGTTTGGAAACACGTTGTTGTCCATTCTGCAAATGGATATTGTTGAGCTCATTGAGGCCAATGGTGAAAAAGTGAATATCTAATGATAAAAACTGGAAGGAAACTTCCTGAGAAACTACTATGTGATGTGTGTATTCAGCTAGGAGAGCTAAACCTTTCTGTTCATTCAGCAGTTTGGAAACACTGTTTTTGTAGAATCTGCAAGGAGATATTTCGGGGCACATTGAGGCCTGTGGTGAAAAAGGAATCATCATCAGATAAAAACTGGAAGAAGATTTCTCAGAAACTGCTTTGTGATGTGTGCATTCATCTCACAGAGTTAAACATTTCTTTGAACTCCGCAGTTTGGAAATAGTGTTCTTGACCCTTCTTCGAATAGACATTTCATAGCTCATTGAGGCCAAGGGCGAAAAAGTGAACATACCAAGATAAAAACTAGAAGGAAACTCTCTGAGAAAATATTTTGTGATGTGTGCATTCTCCTCACAGAGGTAAACCTTTCTTTTCATTCAGCAGTTTGGAAACACTGTTTATTAAAATCTATGTAGGGATATGTGGGAGCACATTGAGTTCTATTGTAAAATATGTTCAGATGAAAACCAGAAAGAAACTTTCTGAGAAACTGCTCTATGAAGTGTGCATTCATCTCACAGAGTTAAACATTTCTTTTCATGTAGCAGTTTGGAAACAATGTTTTTGTATAATCTGTAAATGGGTATTGGGAAATGAATTGAGGTCTATGGTGAAAAACAAAACACCTTCAAATAAAAACCAGGAAGAAGCTTTCTGAGAAACTGTTATGTGATGTGTGCATTCATCTCACAATGATAAGCCCTCCTTTTGATTCAGCAGTTTGGGAACACTCTTTCTGTCCACTATTTGAATTGCCATTTGGGAGTTCATTGAGGCCAATGGAGAAAAAGAGAATATCCAAGGATAAAAACTAGATGGAAGCTATCAGAGATACCCTTTTATGATGTGTGCATTCACCTCGCAGAGTTAAACCATTCCGTTCATTCATCAGTTTGCAAACACTGTTTTTGTAGAATCAGCAAAGGGATATTTGGTAGTGCATTGATGCCTATTGTTAAAAAGGAAACATCTTCACATAAAAATAAGAAAGACGCTTTCTGAGAAACTGCTTTCTGATGTGTGTATTTATCAGACAGAGTCAAAATTTTCTTTGGATTCAGCAGTTTGGAAAGGCTATTTTTGTCCATTCTGCAAGTGGACATTTGGGACTTCACTGAGGCCAATGGCAAAAAGCAAATATCCCAGGATAAAGACTAGAAAGAAGCTATCAGAGAAACTGCTTTGTGATGTGTGCATTCACTCACAGAGTTAAACCTTTCTTTTCATTCAGCAATTTGGAAACACTGTTTTGTAGAATCTGTGAAGGGATATTGGGGAGCGCTTTGAGGCCTATGGTGAAAAAGGAAACAACTTCAGATAAAAACTAGAAAGAAAATTTCTGAGAAACTGCTTGTCATGTGTGCATTCATCTCACTTATTTAAGCCATACTTTGGATTCAGGAGTTTGGAAACACTGTTGTTGTCCATTCTGCAAATGGACATTTGGGATCTCATTGAGGCCAATGACAAAAAATTGAATATCCCAGGATAAAAACCAGAAAGAAGCTATCTGAGAAACCACTTTGTGATGTGTGGATTCATCTCGCAGAGTTAAACCTTTCTTTTCATTCAGCAGTTTGGAATCACTGTTTTCATAGGATCTGCAAAGGGATATTTGGGAGCTCATTGAGGCCAATGACAACAAAGCAAATGTCCTAAGATATAAACTAGAAGGAAGCTATCTGAGAAACTGATTTCTGATGTGTGCATTCATCTTGAAGAGTTAAACCTTTCTTTTCATTCAGCACTTTGGAGAAACGGTTTTGGTAGAATCTGCAATACGGTATTTGGGAGCAAATTGAGGCCTATGGTGAAAAAGAAAACACCTTCAGTTAAAAACTGGAAAGAAGCTTTCTCAGAAACTGCTTTGTCATGTGTGCATTCATTTCTCAGATTTAAACCTTTCTTGGATGCAGCAGTTTGGAAACACTGTTTTCGTCTATTCTGCGAATGTACATGTTGGAACTCATTGAGGCCAATGGTGAAAAAACGAATATCCAATGATAAAAACTAGAAGGAAGCTATCTATCTGAGTAACTGCTTTGTGATGTGTGCATTTATCTCGGAGAGTTAAACATTTCTTTGTGTTAAGCATTTTGGAAACACTGTTTTTGTAGAACCCATGATGGGGTAATTAGGAGCAAATTGAGGCCCATGCTGAAGAAACAAACACCTTCAGATAACAACTAGAAAGGTTTTTAATAAACTGTTTTGTGGTGTGTGCATTTATCTCACAGAGTTAATACTTTATTTTGATTCAGCAGTTTGGGAACACACTTTTCGTCTATTCTGTGGATGGACATTTAGAAGCTCATTGAGACTTATGTCAAAAAAGCGAATATCCCAAGATAAAAACCAGAAGGAAGCTATCTGAGAAACTGATTTTTGATGTGTGCATTCCTCTTACAGATATAACCTTTCTTTTCATTCAGCAGTTTGGAAACACTGCTTATTAAAATCTATGTAGGGATATTTGGGAGCACATTGATCTCTACGGTGAGAAAGAAAACATTTTCAGATAAAAACTAGAAAGAACTTTTCTGAGAAACTGCTTTGTGATGTGTGCATTCATCTCAGCAAGTCAAATTTTTTTTTTGGATTCAGCAGTTTGGAAACATTCTAGGTATCCATTGTGTAAATGGACATTTGGTAGCTCACTGAGGCCAATGGTGAAAACCCGAATAACCCAAGTTAAAAACTAGATGGAAACTATCTGAGAAACAGCTTTGTTATGTGTGCATTCATCTCACAGACTTAAAACTTTCTTTTCATTCAGCAGTTTGGAAATACATTTCTGTAGAATCCGTGAAGGGATATTTGGGAGCACATTTAGGCTTATGCTCAAAAAGGAAATATTTTCACATAAAAACTAGAAAAAAGCTTTCTGAGAAACTGTTTTGATGTGTTCATTCATCTCACAGAGTTAAAACATTTCTTTGTTTCAGAGTTTGGAAACACTTTGTTTGTCCATTTTGCAAAAGGACACTTGGGAGCTCATTGAGGCCAATGGTGGAAAAGCATATGTCCCAGGATAAAAACTAGAAGGAAACTACCTGAGAAACTGCTTTGTGATGAGTCCTTTCATCTCACAAAGTTAAACCTTTCTTTTCATTCAGCAGTTTGGAAACACTGTTTTGTAGGATCTGTGAAGGGATATTTTGGAGCTCATTGAGGCCTACTGCAAAAAAATGAATATCTTGGATAAAAACTTGAAGGAAGCTATGTGAGAAACTGCTTTGTGATGTTTGAATTCATCTTGCAGAGTTAAACCTTTCTTTTTGTTCAGCAGTTTGGAAACCCTCTTTTGTAGAATCTGTGAAAGGGGTTTTTGGAGCACTTTGAGGCCTATGGTGAAAAATAAAACACATTCATTTAAAAACTAGAAGAAGCTTTCTGAGAAACTGCTTTGTGATGTGGGCATTCAACCACCTCACCGAGTTAAACGTTTCTTTGGATGCAGCAGTTTAGAAACACTGTTTTTGTTCATTCTGCAAATGGACATTTGGGAGCCCTTTGAGGTCAAAGACGAAAAAGCAAATATCCAATGGTAACAACTAGAATGAAGCTATCTGAAAAACCACTTTGTAATGTGTGCATTCATCTCGCAAATTTAAACCTTTCTTTTGATTCAGCAGTTTTAAAACAGTTTTTGTAGAATCTGTGAAGGGATAATTGGAGTGCATAGAGGCCTTATGGTGAAAAATGAAACATCTTTAGAATAAAACTAGAAAGAAGCTTTCTATGAAGCTGCTTTGTGTTGTATGCATTCATCTCACACTTAACCTTTCATTTGGTTCTGCAGTTTGTGAACAATGTTTTTGTCCATTCTGCAAATTGACATTTGGGAGCTCATTGAGGCCAATGTTAAAAAAGCAAATATCCCAGGACTAAAACTAGAATAAAGCTATCTGAGAAATTTCTTTGTTATGTGTACATTCATCTCTCAGAGTTAAAACTTTCCTTTCATTCAGCAGTTTGGAAACACTGTTTTTGTAGATTCTGCAAACTTATATTTGGCAGCACATTGAGGCCTCTGGTGAAAAGTGAAATATCTTCATATAAAAAGTAGAACGAAGCTTTCTGAGAAACTGCTTTGTGATGTGTGTATTCATCTCACGGATTTAAGCCTTTCTTTTCATTCACCAGTTTGGAAACACTGATTTGTCCATTCTGTGAATGTACATTTGGGAGCTCATTGAGGCCAATGGTGAAAAAGCGAATATCCCAGGAGAAAAACTAGAAGAAAGCTATCTGGGAAACCACTTTGTGATGTGTGCATTCACCCCACAGAGTTACTCTTCTCTTTTCATTCAGCAGTCTGGAAACACTGTTTTGGCAGACTCTGAGAAGCGATATTTGGGAGTACATTGAGGCGTATGGTGAAAAAGGAAATATCTCGAGATAAAAACTAGAAAGAAGCTTTCTGAGAAATTGTTTTGTGATGTGTGCATTCACCTCACAGAGTTAAACCTTTCTTTGGATTCAATAATTTGGAAACACTGTGTTTGTCCATTCTGCAAATGGACACTTTTTGAGCTCATTGGATCCAATGGTAAAAAAGCAAATATCCCAGGAAAAAAAACTAGAAGAAAGCTATCTGAGAAACTGCTGTGTGATGTGTGCATTCCTCTGGCAGAGTTAAACTTTTTGCTTCATTCTAGAGTCTGGAAACATTGTTTTTGTAGAATCTTTAAAGGGCTATCTCAGAGCCCATTTAGGCTTATGGTCAAAACGGAAATATATTCAGATAAAAAGTAGAAATAAGTTTTCTGAGAAACTGCTTTGTGATGTGTCCATTCATCTGACAGAGTTAAACGTTTCTGTGGACTCAGGGGTTTGGAAACACTGTTGTGGTAGAATCTGTGAATGGATATTTAGGAGCTCATTGCGGTCACAGGGGAAAAAGAAACTATCCCAGGATAAAAACTAGAAATCTATCTGAGAAACCTCTTTGTGATGTGTACATTAGTCTCTCAGAGTTACACATTTATTTTCATTCAACAGTTAGGAAACACTGTTTTTGTCCTTTCTGCAAATGTATACTTGGGAGCTCATAGAGGCCAAATTCAAAAGAGCAAATATTCCTGGACAAAAAATAGAACAAAGCTACATGAGATACCACTTTGTGATGTGTGCATTCATCTCGCAGAGTTAAACCTTCCTATGGATTTCAGCAGTCTGGAAACACTTTTTTTGTCCATTCTACGAATAGACATTTGTTAGCTCATTGAGGCCAAAGGCAAAACAGTGAATATCTCAGGATAAAATCTAGAAGAAAGTTATCTGAGAAGCCACTTTCTGATGTGTGCATTCAACTCACAGTGTTAAACTTTATTTTGATTTAGCAGTGTAGAAACACTGTTTTGGTAGAATCTGAAAAGGGATATTTGGGAGTGCATTGAGGCCTATTGTGGAAAAGGAAATATCTTCAGAAAAAACTTTCTGAGAAACTGCTTTGTGGTGTGTGCATTCATCTAGCAGAATTAAACTTTTTTTTTGGATTCAGCAGCTTGGAAACACTGTTTTTATAGAATCTGTGAAGGGATATTTGAGAGCTTATTGAGGCTATAGCTGAAAACATAAAAAACCCATGATACAAACTAGAAGGAAGCTCTATGAGGAACCACATTGTGGTGGTTGATTTCATCTCACAGGTTTAAAACTTTCTTTTCAGTCAGCATTTTGGAAACACTGTTTTTGTAGAATCTGTGAAGGGGTGTTTGGGAGCTCATTGAGGTCTATGGTGAAAAAGGAAAATCTTCAGATAAAAACTAGAAAAAAGCTTTCTGAGAAACTGCTTTATGATGTAAGCATTAATCTCACAGAGTTAAAACTGTCTTTGGAGACAGCAGTTTGGAAACACTATTGTTGTAGAATCTGTGAAGGTATATTTGATAGCTCGTTGATGCCATGAAGAAGTGAATATCCCAGGACAAAACTAGAAGGAAGCTATCTGAGAAAGCACTTTTGATGTGTGCCTTCATCACACAGTGGTAAAACTTTCTTTTCATTCATCAGTTTGGAAACTCTGTTTTCTAGAATCTGCAAAGGGATATTTGGGAGCCCATTTAGGCTTATGGAGAAAAAAGAATTATCTTCAGATAAAAACTAGCAAGAAGCTTTCTGAGAAACTGCTTTGGGACGTGTGCATTCACCTCCCAGAATTAAACCTTTCTTTGGATTCAGCAGTTTGTAAACACTGTTATTGTCCATTCTGAGAATTGACTTTTGGAGGTTCTTGGTTCCAATCGTGAAAATGCGAATACCCCAGAAAGAAAACCAGAAGAAAATTATCTGTGAAAAAACTTTGTGATGTGTGCATTCATCTCACAGAGTTAAATGATTCTTTTCATTCAGCAGTTTGGAAACACTGTTTTTGTGGAATCTGCAAAGGGATATTTGGGGGCACATTGAGGCCTGTGGTGAAAAAGGAAATATCTTCAGCTAAAAACTAGAAAAAAGCTTTTTGAGAAACTGGTTTGGGATGTGTGCATTTATCTTAGATAAAACTAGAAATAAGATTTCTGATAATCTGCATTGCAATGTGTGCATCCATCTCACATATTTAAATGTTTCTTTGTATTCAGTAATTTTGAAATACTTTTCATAGCCTCTGCGAAGGTATATTGGATATCTCAGAGAGGCCATAGGGGAAAAAGCGAATACCCCACGATAAAAACTAGAATGAAACTAAATGAGAAACCTCCTTGTGATGTGTGCATTCATGTCACAGAGTTAAGCTTTTCTTTCCATTCAGCAGTTTGAAAACACTGTTTCAGTAGAATCTCTGAAGAATATTTGGGAGCACATTGTGGCCTATGGTGAAAAAAGAAATGTCTTCAGATAAAAACTAGAAAGAAGCATTCTGAGGAACTGCTTTGTGGTGTGTGCATTCATCTCACAGAGGTAAACTGTTTTTTGGATTCAGCAGTTTGGAAACACTGTTTTTGTAGACTCTATGAAGGAATATTATAGATCTCATTGAGGCCATAAGTGAAAAAGCAAAAATCCCATGACAAAACCTAGAAGGAAGCTATCTGAGGAGCTGTTTTGATGGGCATTTTCATCTCGCAGAGTGAAACCTTTGTTTTCATTCAGCAGTTGGGAAACACTGTTTTGATAGAATCTCCAAAGGGATATTTGGGAACACTTTAAAGCCTGTGGTGAAAAGAAATACCTTGAGATAAAAACTGGAAAGAAGATTTCTGAGATACTGCTTCATGATGTGTGCATTCATCTCACAAATTTAAACATTTCTCTGGATTCAGTAATTTGGAAACACTGTTTTTGTCACATCTGTGAAGGGATATTTCATAGCTCATTGAGGCCATAGGGGAAAAAGTGAATATCCCATGATAAAAGCTGGAAGGAAGGTATCTGAGAAACCACTTTGTGAGGTCAACATTCATCTCACAGAGTTAAACATTTCTTTTGAATCAGCAGTTTGGAAACACTGTATTGTCCATTCTGTAATTGGACATTTGGGACCTCTTTGATGCCAATGGTGAAAAAACAAATTTCCCAGGATAAAAACTAGAATGAAGCAATCTGTGAAGCCAGTTTGGGATGTGTGTCTTCATCCCACAGAGTTAAACCTTTCTTTTCGTTTCTTCAATTGTACTTTAATTTCTAGAGTATATGTGCACAACGTGTAGGTTTATTACATATGTATACATGTGCTATGTTGGTGTGCTCCACCCATTAACTCATCATTAACATTAGGTATATCTCATAATGCTATCCCTCCCCCCTGCCCCACTCCATGACTGGCCCCCATGTGTGATGTTCCCCTTCCTTTGACCATGTCTTCTCATTGTTCAATTGCCATCTATGAGTTAGAACATGCGGTGTTTGGTTTTTTGTCTTTGCTATAGTTTGCTGAGAATGATGGTTTCCAGCTTCATCCATGTCCCTACAAATGACATGAACTCATCCATTTTCCTGTCTGTGTAGTATTCCATGGTGTATATGTGCCACATTTTCTTAATCCAGTCTATCATTGTTGGACATTTGGGTTGGTTCCAAGTCTTTGCTATTGTGAATAATGTCACAATAAACATATGTGTTCATGTGTGTTTATAGCAACATGATTTATAATCCTTTGAGTATGTACCCAGTAATGGGTTGGCTGGGTCAAATGGTATTTCTAGTTCTAGATACTTGAGGAATTGCCTCACTGTCTTCCACAATGGTTGAACTAGTTTACAGTCCCACCAACATTGTAAAAGTATTCCTATTTCTCCACATCCTCTCCAGCACCTATTGTTTCCTGACTTTTTAATGATTGCCATTCTAACTGGTGTGAAATGGTATCTCATTGAAGTTTTGATTTGCATTTTTTCTGATGGTCAGTGATGATGAGCATTTTTTTCATGTTTCTGTTGGCTGCATAAAAGTCTTCTTTTGAGAAATGTCTGTTAATATACTTCACCCACTTTTTGATTCAGTTTTTTGTTTTTTTTTTCTTGTAACTATGTTTGAGTTTTTTCTAGATTCTGGATATCAGCCCATTGTCAGATGAGTACATTGCAAAAATGTTTCTCCCATTCTGTAGGTTGCCTGTTCACTCCAACAGTAGTTTCTTTACAGAAGCTCTTTAGTTTAATTAGATCCTATTTTTCAATTTTGGCTTTTTTTGCTTGCTTTTGGTGTTTTAGGCATTAAGTCCTTGCCCATGCCTTTATCCTGAATGGTATTGCCTAGGTTTTCTTTTAGGGTTTTAATGGATTTAGGTCTAACATTTAAGTCTTTTTTTTATTATTATACTTTAAGTTTTAGGTTACATGTGCACATTGTGCAGGTTAGTTACATATGTATACATGTGCCATGCTGGTGCGCTGCACCCACTAACTCATCATCTAGCATTAGGTATATCTCCCAGTGCTATCCCTCCCCCCTCCCCCCACCCCACCACAGTCCCCAGAGTGTGATATTCCCCTTCCTGTGTCCATGTGATCTCATTGTTCAATTCCCACCTGTGATTGAGAATATGCGGTGTTTGGTTTTTAATCCATCTTGAATTAATGTTTGTATAAGGTGTAAGGAAGAGATCCAGTTGCAGCTTTCTACATATGGCAAGCCAGTTTTCCCACCACCATCTATTAAATAGGGAATCTTTTCCCCATTTATTGTTTTTGTCCGGTTTTTCAAAGATCAGATGGTTATATATGTGTGGTATTATTTCTTGGGGCTCTGTTCTGTTCCATTGGTCTATATCTCTGTTTGGATACTGTAGCCTTGTAGTAGAGTTTGAAGTCAGGTAGCGTGATTCTTCCAGCTTTATTCTTTTGGCTTGGGATTAACTTGGCAATGTGGGCTGTTTTTTGGTTCTATATGAACTTTAAGAGTTTTTTCCAATTCTGTGAAGAAAGTCATTGGTAGCTTGATGGGGATGGCATTGAATCTGTAAATTACTTTGGGCAATATGGTTATTTTCATGATATTGATTCTTCCTATCCATGAGCATGGAATATTCTTCCATTTGTTTGTGTCCTCGTTTATTTTGTTGAGCAGTGGTTTGTAGTTCTCCTTGAAAAGGTCCTTCACATCCCTTGTAAGTTGGATTCCTAGGTATTTTATTCTCTTTGAAGCAATTGTGAATGGGAGTTCACTCATGATTTGGCTGTGTGTTTCTTATTGGTGTATAAGAATGCTTGTGAATTTTGCACATTGATTTTATATCCTGAGACTTTGCTGAAGTTGCTTATCAGCTTAAGGAGATTTGGGGCTGAGATAATGGGGAATACTAAATATGTAATCGTGTCATCTGCAAACACAGACAAATTGATTTCCTCTTTTCATAAGTGATATCCATTTATTTCTTTCTCCTGCCTAATTATCCTGGCCAGAATTTCCAACACTATATTGAATAGGAGGGGTGAGAGAGGGCATCACTGCCTTGTGCCAGTTTTCAAAGAGAGTGCTTCCAGGTTTTGCCCATTCAATATATTGCCTGTGTGTTTGTCATAAATAGCTCTTATTATTTTGAGATATGTCCCATCAATACCTAATTTATTGAGTGTTTTTATCATGAAAGGCTGTTGAACTTTGTCAAAGGCCTTTTCTGCATCTATTGAGATAATCATGTGGTTTTTGTCTTTGGTTCTGTTTGTATGTAGGATTATGTTTATTGATTTGCATAAGTTAAACCAGCCTTCATTCAGCAGTTTGGAAACACTGTTTTGGTAGAATCTGATAAAAGATATTTGGCAGTGCATTGAGGCCTACTGTGAAAAAGGAAATAACTTCAGATAAAAACTAGACAGAAGCTTTTGGAAAAACTGCTTTGGTGTGTGTGTATTCATTTCAAAGGTTTAAACCTTTCTATAGATTCAGCAGTTTTGAAAAACTGTTTTTGTAGAATCTGTGAAGGGATATTTGGTAGCTCTGTGAAGGGATATTTGGTAGCTCATTGAGGCAAAAGGCAAAAAAGCAAATATCCCAGGATAAAAACTATAAGGAAACTACCTGAGAACTCGCTTTGTGATGTGTGCATTCATCTCACAGATTTCAACCTTTCTTTAATTTAGCAGTTTGGAAAAACTGTCTTGGTAGAAACTGCAAAGGGATATTTGGGAGCGTTTTGAGGCATATGGTGAAAAAGGAGGTATCTTCAGATAAAAACTGGCAAGAAGCTTTCTGAGAAACTGCTTTGGGACGTGAGCATTCACCTCAGAGTGTTAATCCTTTCTTTAGATTCAGCAGTTTGTAAACAGTTATTGTCCATTCTGCAAATGGACTTTTGGAAGTCCTTGAATCCAATCATAAAAATGCAAATATCCCAGGATGAAAACTAGAAGAAAGCTGTCTGAGAAATCAGTTTCTGATGTGTGCATTCATCTCTGAGAGTTAAAACCTTCCTTTCTTTCAGCAGTTTAGAATGTTTTTTGTAAAATCTGTGAAGGGATATTTAGGAGTAACTGAGGCCTATGGTTAAAAAGAAATTACCTTCAGATAAAAAGTAGAAGGAAGATTTTTGAGAAACTTCTGTGTGATCTGTACATTCATCTCACAGAGTTAAAACTTTGTTTGGATTCATCAATTTGGAAACACTGTTCTTGTCCATTCTGCGAATCAACATTTGGGACCTCATTGAGGCCAAAGGCAAAAAAGAGCATATCCCAGTGTAAAAACTAGAATGAAGCTATCTGAGAAACTGCTTTGTGATCTGTGCATTCATCTTGCAGAGTTAACCCTTTCTTTTCCTTCAGCAATTTGAAAACACTGGTTTGGTAGAATTTTTGAAGTAGTGAGTGAATTGAAGCCTATAGTGAAAAAGGAAGCATCTTTTGATAAGAACTAGAAAGATCCTTTCTGAGAAACTGCTTTGGGATGTGTGTATTCATCTCACAGAGATAAACCTTCCCTTCAATTCAGCAGTTTGGAAAGACTCTTTTTTTAGAATGTGCAAAGGGATATTTGGGAATTCATTGAGGCCAAAGGCAAAAAAGTGAATATCCCAGGATAAAAAGTAGAAGGAAGCTATCTGAGATACCACTTTGTTATGTGTGCATTCATGTCACAGAGTTAAACCTTTCTTTTCATTCAGCAGTTTGGAAACACTGTTTTGGTAAAATCTACAAAGGGATATTGGGGGGTGTTTTCAGGCCTATGGTGAAAAAAGAAATATCTTCAGATAAAAACTAGAAAGAAGTTTCTGAGAAACTAGCTTGTGAGGTACTCATTCATCTCACAAATATAAACCTTTCTTTGGATTCAGCAGTTTGGAAATTCTGTTTTTGTCCATTCTGTGAATGGACATTTGGGAGCACATTGAGGCCAATGGCAAAAAAGTGAGTATCCCAGTACAAAAACTAGAAGGAAGCCACCTGGAAACCGCTTTGTGATGTGTGCATTCATCTCGCAGAGTGTAACCTTTCTTGCCATTGAGCAGTTTGGAAACTCTTGGGGGAAGTCAGGGACCCCAAAAGGAGGGGCTGACTGAAGCCATGGAAAAAGAATGTAAACTGTGAAAATTCCATGGACATTTATTAGTTCCCCAAATGAATACTTTTATAATTTCTTACACCTGTCTTTATTGCAATCTCTGAACAGAAATTGAGTAGATTTCATGGACATTTATCACTCCCCCGATCAATACTCTTGTGATTTCCTATACCTGGCTTTACTTTAATCTCTTAATCCTGTCATTTTTTTAAGCTGAGGTTTTATGTCGCCTCAGGACCCTGTGATGAATGCATTAACTGCATAAATTGTTTAAATGATATGAAATCTGGGTATCATGGAAAAAGAACAGAATAACAGTGATGTTCAGGGAACAATGGAGATAACCATTAGGTCTGGCTGCCTTAGAGCCAGGTGGAAGAGAGCTATATTTATATTATTTCCAAATCAAGTAGGGGAAATATCGCTGAATTCTTTTTTTCAGCAAAGAACTGCCCTGAGAAAGAGAATGCATTCCCAGGGTAGGTCTCTAAAATGGCCACTCTGGGAACGTCTGTCTTTTATGGTTGAAGATAAGGGATGAAATAAGCCCCGATCTCCAGTACTACTCCCAGGCCTATTAGGACAAAGAAATTCCCACCTAGTAAATCTTGGTCAGACCGGTTGTCTGCTCTCAAACCCTGTCTCCTGATAAGACATTATCAATGACAATGCATGCCCAAAACTTCATTAGCAATTTTAATTTTTCCCTGGTCCTGTGACCTCACCCTGTCTCTGTTTGCCTTGTAATATTTTATTACCTTGTGAAGCATGCGATCTCTGTGACCCACACCATATTTGTACACTCCATCCCCTTTGAAAATCACTAATAAAAACTTGCTGATTTTGTGGCTTGGGGGCATCAGGGAACCTGCCAACATGGGATGTTTCCCCTGGATACCCAGCTTTAAAATTTCTCTCTTGTACTCTCCCTTTATTTCACAGACCAGCCAACAGTTAGGTAAATAGAAAAGAACCTATGTGAAATATGTTGATTTATCAGGGGTGGGTTCCCCTGATATCTGGCACTCCAATGTGGTTTTTTCTTTTTCCCAAGTGCATTTGGGAACCCAATTCCCTTTGGTAGATGTGGAAAAACGTCATCAGTTTGGTCAACAGAAATGCTTGTTTGACTCCCTGATGTCTGGTGAGTTGTCTGTGTATGGTCTGGGTTAGCTATGGGTCATGCAGAGTCTAACATCATGCTTAAATCTGCTATATTAAATTCTTGTTAAAACAGGGTAAGGTCTGAGTAACCATGGAAAACATGGTCACTCTATTCAATGCTGTAGAAAAACACTGTCCTTGGTTTCATGATAAAAGAACCTTAGATGTAGAACTACGGGATTGTGTTGGTGCAAAATTTCGGGAACTGGTCTCCACTGGGAATTATGTTTCCATCAATCTTTGGGGTAATTGAGACTTGTTTCTTGCCTTCCTGATGACACACCAATCCCGTGTCCCCTTACAGTTACCACAGTTTTCTGAATCTGATGACTTCTTCATCAATCTTCCTCTCTTGCATGGCATTTGTTATCTGATCAGCCTCTCCCTTCGACTACTCCTCCCCAACCTGACCATATTGAGATTTCAATGTCTAACTCTGGGGACTTTGGATTATCGTCACCCCCCCCCCAATTATTTTATTTCTTTTCATGAATAGCTTGTACTTGAAGCTCCCACGGCCCCGACTTTGACAACCCGGGACCATATATATGCTAATTCTTCTCTCTTCACACCTCCGGAGTCACCTAATGGCTCCAGGAACTAAATACAATTTACTTATAATTCTTCATACCCTCCCCCGTCCATTTCATCCCCTCACTCTCCTGTCATTTCAGTTCCTCAACCAGTCACTTTGCCATCCACTAAGCCTGCTTCTCTGTACCATTCTTCACACATAGACGCTGGTAATCACCAGTATAGTTCGGCTCCTTCTACTCCCCCAGTGACCCTTTCTCACACTCTCATTCCGGTCCGACCCCCTCACCCTCAGTTTCCCTTATCTACACATGCATTTCCTGTCACTTATTTGCTGACTCTGAGATGCCTACTCTTGAAATTTAAATGCAACAGCTATTATGCAAAACAAAGAAACAATTGGATTAGATGTGTGGACTTATCCAGTTGCATTACACCCTCCAAACTTCCGAGGGGTACAAATGCATCATTATGTACCTCTTAATCTTACCTTTTTAAAATAATTTAAGGATGCTTGTACTCAGTATGGTCCTACTTCTCCTTAGTCAAAACAGTATACCTTTGTGTACTGAGGTCATTTTGCTTCCTTTCAACTGGGACATTTTGCCAAAAGCTGTTCTAACCCCATCTCAGCATTTACAATTTCGTACCTGGTTGTCAGAAGATGCCCATTTACAAGCTCAGCTAAATCGGACTAATGGCATTCTAATTACTCAGGCTCAGCTCACAGGCTCCGATAGTTTCTCTGATGCTTATGACCAATTAAACTTTGATATTCTTACCATGGAACAAGTAACAAAGGTGTGTATGAGAGCTTGGGATAAATTACTCACTCTAGGCCAAGCTCCTGTTTCTTTTACCATGGTTAAACAAGTCACTCTGAATTATACCCTACTTTTTAGCTAAATTACAAGAAGCTGTTCAAAAATCTGTCTCTGATTTGTACACGCAAGGTATTCTACTTCATATGTTACCTTTTGAAAATGCTAACCATGAGTGTAAAATGGCCGTGTGTTCTGTCCAAAGACAAAATATGCTTCATCATGAGGTGTTGCCTACATTTATTAAAGCTTGTGAAGGTATTGGATCAGACACCCACAAAGCTATTCTGTGGGCATGGGCGATGAAGGACACCAACAAAACTCGTCCCACTAATTCTTTTCTTGGAGCATTGTCTACTTGCAGTCAACTTGGTCATAATAAAAAAATTACACTGTTAAAAACTTAAAAGCAGCCAAGCTGGCTCAACAAACATGGCCAAATGCCACTGCTACTGTTTGCCCACGTTGTCATAAAGGTAAATATTGGGCAAATAATTGCTGCTCTATGTATGATATAGATGATGGAAACCCACTGCCACAACACCAGGGAAATGGGGAGTGGGGAAGGTCCTGGGACCGGATATCAATTGGGATGCCTCAGACTCAGACCAATGTTGTGTTTCTGCCTCAGGTGGTCCCAACACAACCCCCAGCACAAACAAATTTACCTACAGCCAACTCAAATGTGTCTCAGCCTCTCCTTCTGTTTCAGTACAATGCTTGTCCACCTCCACAGTAAGGGATGAGGTGGTCGATCTCTGTAGTACTATTCCTCTAAATTTACTACCTAACTCTTTGCCTTTCATTGTCCCCATGGGAGACACTGGCCCTTTACCTCAAGGTTTGGTCAGCCTGGTTTTAGGTAGGACATCCACCTCTGCTACAAGAATCACCATTCACACTGGTCTCATTTATTCTGATTCTGTTAATGAGATTAAATTAATGGTGTCTTCCAAGGTTCCTGTTTCCATTCCAGCCAGTGAGTCAATTGCTCAATTGCTTTTACTACCTAATATCGTTTTAAACAAAGGAGATAAGACACGTGACCCTGGGATTGGCACCAGTGGTGAAAATGTCGCTTATTGGATTAACATAGTTTCTAAACAACGGCCCCCCTGCACCATACACAGTCAAGAAAAAAGGCTTGAGGGCCTAGTAGATACTGGGGCTGATGTTTCTGTTATTTCCTCTAGTTTGTGACCTTCTTCCTGGCTTAAACATTCTGCTAACATGAGACTACTAGGTGTTGAAAAAGCTGAGGAAGTTTATGAGAGCACATTTGTGTTGTCTTGCACTAGCTCTGATGGTCAAAGGGGAACCATTCAGCCTTATATCACTCCAATCCCCATTAATCTTTGGAACAGAGATTTACTGGGACATTGGGGGGCTGAAATTAATATTCCACATGACTCTTATAGTGCTCCCAGTCAGCATATGATGGAAAACATAGCGTTTGTTCTTGGACTTGTTCTCAGTCCAAAACATGAAGAGATTGCCAAACCCCTCCCAGTTACTGTAAAAGAAAACAGGGAGAGATTAGGTTACCATATTTAACGGCAGCTGCTGCCACACCTCCTAATCCCATCCCTTTACAATGGAAATCTGACACACCCATTTGCATACAGCAGTGGCCACTTTCTAAAGAAAAACTGGAGGCTTTAACTCACCTGGATTCTAAACAGTTACAACTTGGAAATGTGGAACCTTTTCTTTCCCCATGGAATTCTCCTGTGTTTCTAGTATAAAAAGAAATCAGGCAAGTGGCAGATGGTAACAAATTTAAGGGCCATTAACACTGTAATTAAACCTATGGGTGCCATGCAAACCAGCACGTGTGCCCCGGCTTTAATACCTAAAAATTGGCCTCTCATAGTTATTGAACTTAAAAATTTTTTTTTATATTCCTTTACATAAATCAGATTGTGAAAAATTTGCTTTTACTGTACCATGTATCAATAATCAGGAGGCTGCAGCTCATTATCAATGGAAATACTTCCTCAGGGAATGCTAAATAGCCCTACCATCTGCCAGCTTTATGTTGAACAAGTGCTTTCACCAGTTGGAGCCCAATTTCCCCAGGCCTATATTCTTCATTTTATTGATGATATTTTAATTGCTGCCCCCACTGATAAAGAATTAATTGACTGTTATCAAAGAGTGAGCCACCATGTTACAGAGGCTGGATTTCACATCACTCAGGATGAAATTCAACAGACCCCTCCTGTTCAATATTTAGAAATGGTGGTCGACAAACAACATATTCGACCTCAAAAAGTTCAAATTAGAAGAGAGTCTTTGAAAACTTTAAATTACTTCCAAAAACTTTTGGGTAATATTAATTATTTAAGACCTACTTTAGGCATTCTGACCCATGCACTATCTAACTTGTTTTCTATGCTGTGGGGAGATTCCAATCTCCACAGTCCCAAGATTTTGACCCCTGAGACTTCAGTAGAACTGGACTTCATAGAGGAAAGAATCTATACCACCCAGTTATCTAGAGTACAGCTGTTTCAGCCTTTTCAGCTTCTGGTTTTTGCTTCACTACTCTCCCCTACTGGACTAGTAGTTCAACATAATGATTTAGTGTAGTGGTGTTCTCTTCCTCATTCTGTGTCAAAAACTTTGTCTGGGCTGCTTATCTTCCAGAGAGATCAGCTACAGAGGAACCAGGACATTTGGTCTCCGGCCTCTCCCTTTCTCCTTTAAAACAAATGAAAGTGGGAGTAATAGGAGATAATCCATAATTTCAATATAAACCTGCAGGAAAACCATGCCATAAACATTTTGAGGGCCCACCTAAAACTTTAATTTGGGAAGATTGTGTTAACTCACATGCAGTAATATTAAAAAATGACTCATATGTTTTAGTAATATACTGGGCACCAAAGGGCTATTTAAAAAACAATAGTTCCTCTGATGAAAGAGAATGCCTGGAGGCTACTTATTTTATTTCTTATTGGGAGAAGGAGAATCATCATTCTACTTTGCATAAGAGGTTCAGCTAATTCTTTCCATTAAAATGGGAGGATAAAGGCATTACTCTCCCAAGGACTTGTATGATACTTCCCATTCTAAGATCAGAACACCCAGAACTTTGGAAATTGGCTATTGCCGTGTCAGGACTGTGAGTATGGGAAGGGGAAAATATTCTGTCTGTTGTTCCCACTGCCGCCCCCTTCTCTCAGTATCAACGTAGACCAGAAATTCTGCTTTGCTTACCCCCAACCTGACTATTCCCATAGAGAGTTGTGCTAAGCCTCCTTACATGTTTTTAATGGGAAATATCAAAATTTGGGCAAACAATGAAATTTACCAATGCATTAATTGTCATTTATACACTTGTATTAACTCCTATTTTAACTCCAGGAAAAGTGTAATGTTGATTCGAGCTGGAGAAGGAATCTGGATTCCAGTAAATTTGCCCAGACCTTGGAAATCTTCTCACTAAATACATTTAATTAATGAAGTGTTCCAGAGAATTCTAAAAAGATCTAAGAGATTTGTTTTCACTTTAATTGCTGTGACCATGGGCCTAATTACAGTCACTGCAATGGCCACCACTGCCAGAATGGCATTACATCAATCTATTCAAACGACTCTTTTTGTTAATGATTGGCAAGCCAATTCCACCCAAATGTGAAATTCTCAAGAAGAATTTGATCAAACATTGGCTAATCAAATTAATGATTTAAGACAGTCTGCTATTTGACTTGGAGATCGGGTACTGAGACTTGAACATCACAGGCAAATGCAGTGCGATTGGAAGACTTCTGATTTCTGTATCAGCCAATATTCCTATAATGAGACTGATCATTCATGGGAAGTGGTCAAAGGACACCTACGGGGTAGGGAAGATAATTTATCATTGAACTTAATTAAATTAAAGAAACAAATTTTTAAAGATTCTCAAGCTCCTTTATCCATTGTGCCTGGAGCTGAGGCTTTAGATCAGGCAGCAGACAATCTTTCTAGATTAAACCCCATGACTTGGATTAAGTCTATTGGGGGTTCCACTGTAGTAAATTTTCGAATTTTGTTCCTCTGTTTAATCGCCTTGTCTCTACTGTGCTGGACCAGTCAAAGAATCCTGCATCAAAATCAAGAGAATGAACAAGCCTTCATCGCCATGTCACATTTATATGAAAAGAAAGGGAGAGATGTTGTGGGAAGTCACGGACCCCAAGTGGAGGGACTGGCTGAAGCCATGGCAGAAGAACATACACTATCATGATTTCATGGACATTTATTAGTTCCCCAAATGAATACTTTTATAATTTCTGAGGCCCATCGTTAATGCAATCTCTGAATATAAATTGAGAAGATTTCATGGACATTTATCACTTCCCCTATCAATACTCTTGTGATTTCCTATGCCTGTCTTTAGTTTAATCTCTTAATCCCATCATCTTCATAAGCTGAGGATGTATGTCGCCGCAGGACCCTGTGATGATTGCGTTAACCACACAAATTGTTTAAACAATATGATATCTGGGCACCTTGAAAAAAGAAGAGGATAACAGCAATATACAGGAAACAATGGAAATAACCATTTTGTCTAACTGCCTGGGAGCCAGGTGGAACAGAGCCATATTTCTCTTCTTTCAAAAGCAAATAGGAGAAATATCACTGAATTCTTTTCCTCAGCAAGAAACAACACTGAGAAGGAATTCATTCCCAGGGGTAGGTCTCCAAAATGGCTGATCTGGGAATGTCTGTCTTTTATGTTTTCAGATAAGGGATGAAATAAGCACCGGTCTCCCACAGCACTCCCAGGGTAAGGAAATGCCTGCCTAGTAAATTTTGGTCAGACAGGTTGTCTGCTCTCAAGCCGTGTCTCCTGATAAGATGTTATCAGTGAAAAGGCATGCCTGAAACTTCATTAGTAACTTTAATTTCACCCCGGTCCTGTGATCTCACCCTTAATCCTTTTGCCTTGTAATATTTTACTACAGTGTGAAGTATGTGATCTCTGTGACTCACACCTTATTCGTACACTCCATCACCTTTGAAAATCACTAATAAAACCTAGCTCGTTTAGCAGCTTAGGGGGGCATCACGGAACCTGCTGACATATGGTGTCTCCCCCGGATACCCAGCTTCAAAAATTCTCTCTTTTGTAATCTTTCACATTATTTCTCAGACTGGCCCACACTTAGGGAAATAGAAAAGAACCTATGGGAAATATGTTGAATTATCGGGGGTGGGTTCTCCTGTGAATTCACTAGTTTGGAAACACTTTTTTTTTAGGATCTGCAAAAGGATATTTGGGGATGCATTAAGGCCTACGGTGAAAAAGGAAATATCTTCAGATGAAAACTAGAAAGAAGCTTTCTGAGAAACTGCTTTGTGTTGTGGGCATTAACCTCACAGAGGTAAACCTTTCTTTAAATTCAGTAATTTGGAAACACTGTTTTTGGAGAATCTGCAAAGGGATATTTGGGAGCTCATTGAGGCCAAAGTTGAAAAACTGAATATCCAAGGATAAAAACCAAAAGGAAGCTATCTGAGAAACCACTTTGTGATGTGAGCATTCATCTCACAGAGTTAAACCTTTCTTTTCTTCTGCAGTTTGGAAACGCTGTTTTGGTAGAGACTGCGAAGAGATATTTGGGAGAACATCAAGGCCTGTTGTGAAAACGGAAATATCTTCAGATAAAAACTAGAAAGAAGCTTTCCGAGAAACTGCTTTGGGGTGTGTGCATTCATCTCACAGAGAAAAACCTTTCTTAGGATTCAGAAGTTGGGAAACACTGTTTTTGTCCTTTCTGCAAATGAACATTTGGGAGCTCATTGAGAACAATGGCAAAAAAGGAAATATCCTGAGATAAAAACGAGGAAGAAGCTATCTGAGAAACCACTTCATGATATGTGCATTCATCTCACAGAGTTAAATATTTCTTGTCATTCAGTAGATTGGAAACACTGTTTAGGTAGAATCTTTGAATGGATATTTGGGAGCGCATTGAATCCTATTGTGAAAAAGGAGTTATCTTCTGATAAAAACTAGAAGGAAGCTTTCTGAGAAACTGCTTTGTGATGTGTTCATTCACCTGACAGAGGTAAACCTTTTTTTGGATTCAGTGTTTGGAAACACTGTTTTTGTCCACTGTGCTAATGGACATATGTGAGCTCATGGAGGCAAATGGCAAAAAAGCAAGTCTCCCAGGATTAAAAACTACAGGAAAGCTATCTGAGAAACTGCTGTATGATGTGCTTATTCATCTCACAGTGTTAAAACTTTCTATTCATTCAGCAGTTTGGAAACACTGTTTTGGTACAATCTGGGAAGGGATAGTTGGGAGCTCATTGACACCTACGGTTAAAAAGGAAATATATTCAGATAAGAGCTAGAAAGAAGCTTTCTGGGAAACTGCTTTGTGATGTGTGCATTCATCTCACAGAGTTCAACATTTCTTTGGATTCAACAGTTTGGAAACACTTTTTTTCTTCTCAATCTGCACATGGATATTTGTGAGCTCATTGAGTTCCATGGCAAACAAACGAATATCCCACGATAAAAGTAGAAGGAAGCTATCTGAGAAAAACCCTTCTTTGTGTGCATTCATTTAGCAAAGTTAAACTTGTCTTTTCATTTAGCAGTTTGCAAACACAGTTTTGGTAGAATATCCAAAGGGATATTTGGGAGCGCAATGAGATCTATGGTGAAAAAGGAAATATTTTCAGATGAAAACTAGAAAGAAGCTTTCTGAGAAACAGCTTTGTGATGTGCGCATTCACCTCACAGAGTTAAACCTTTCTTTAGATTCAGTAATTTAGAAACACCGTTTTTGGAGAATCTGCAAAGGGATATTTCAGGTCGAATTGAGGCCTATGGTTAAAAAGGAAACAACTTCAGATAAAAACTAGAAAGAAGCTTTCTGAGAAACTGCTTTGTAATGTTTGTATTCATTTCACAGCATTAAACATTTTTTTGGATTCAGCAGTTTGGAAAAATTGTTTTTGCCCATTCTGAGAATGGACATTAGGGAGCCCATTGAGACCAATGGCAAAAAATTGAATATCCCAAGATAAAAACTGTAAGGAAGTTATTTGAGAAACTGCTTTGTGATGTGTGCATTCATCTCACAGTGTTCAATCTTTCTTTTTTATGCCACAATTAGGAAACGCTGTTTTTGTAGAATCTGCAAAGGAATACTTCTGAGCCCATTGAGGCCTATGGTGAAAAAGGAAAAGTCTTCAGATAAAAACTAGAAGGAAGCTTTCCAAGAAACTGCTTTGTGATGTGTGCATTCATCTCACAGAGATAAAAGTTTCTTTTGATTCAGCTGTTTGGATAAACTGTTTTTGTAGAATATGCAAGGGTATATTTGGGAGCTCTTTGAGGAAAATGGCAAAAAAGAGAATATCCAGGAATAAAAACTACAAGGACGCTATCTGAGAAACTGCTTGGTGATGTGTGCATTCAACAATCAGAGTTCAAGCTTTCTTTTCATTCAGCATTTTGGAAACAGTGTTTTGATAGAATCTGCAAGGGGATATTAGGGAGTGCATTGAGGTCTATGTGAAAAGGAATTATCTTCAGATAAAAGCTAGAAAGAAACTTTCTGAGAAACTGCTTTGTGATGTGTACATTCATCTCACAGAGTTAAAACTTTTTTTGAGTTCAGCAGTTTGGAAACACTGTTTTTGTCCATTCTGTGAATGGACATTTCAGAGCTCATTGAGGTCAATGGAGAAAAAGTGAATATACCAGGATAAAAAATAGACAGAAAGCTATCTGAGAAATAGTTTTGTGATGTGTGTATTCAACTTGCACAGTTAAACCTTTCTTTTCATTCAGCAGTTTAGAAACACTGTTTATGAAGAATCTGCAAAGGGATGTTTTGGAGTTCATTGAGGCCAAGGTCAAAAAAGAGAATATCTCAGGATAAAAACTAGAAGAAATCTACCTGAGAAACCACTTTGTAATGTGTGCATTCATCTCACAGAGTTAAGACTTTCTTTTCATTCAGCAGTGTGGAATCACTCTTTTGGTAGAATCTGTGAAGGGATATTTGGGAGCGCATTAAGGCCAATGGTGAAAAAGGAAATATCTTCTGACAAAAACTAGAAAGAAGTTTTCTGAGAAACTGCTTTGTGATATGTGCATTCATCTCAAAGAGTTAAAACTGTCTTTGCATTCAGCAGTTTGGAAAGTTTGTTTTTGTCATTTCTTCAAATGGACATTTTGGAGCTCATTGAGGCCAATGGCAAAAAAGTGAATATCTTATGATAAAAACTAGAAGAAATATATCTGAGAAACTGCCTTGTGAAGTATGCTTTCAGCTCACAGATTTAAACCTTTCTTTTCATTCAGCAGTTTGGAAACACTGTTTTGGTAGAATCTGAGAAGGGATGTTTGGGAGCTCATTGAGGCCAAAGGTGAAAAAGTGAATATCCCAGGATAAAAATAGACTTAAGCTACCTCAGAAACTGCTTTGTGATTTTTGCTTTCATCTTGCAGAGTTAAACCTTTCTTTTACTCAATAGTTTGAAAACACTGTTTTTCTAGAAACTGAGAAGGGTTATTTGGAAACACATTGAGAGCTACCCTGAAAAGGAAATATCTTCAGATAAAAACAGAAAGAAGCTTTCTGAGAAACTGCTTTGTGAGATAAGCATTCATCTCACAGAGTTAAATCTTTCTTTGGATTCATCAGTGTGGAAAAACTGTTTTTGCCTGTCTACGAATTGACATTTTTGAGCTCTTTGAGGCCAATAGCAAAAAAGTGAATATCCCAGGATAAAAACTAGAAGAAAGCTTTCTGAGAAATCGCTTTGTGATGTGTCCATTCATCTCCCAGAGTTAAACTTTTCTTTTCATTCAGCAGTTTGGAAATACTGTTTTGGTAAGATTTGCAAAGGGATATTTAAGAGCCCATTAAGGCCTATGGTGAAGATGGAAATATCGTCAGATGAAAACGAGGAAGAAGCTTTCTGAGAAACTGCTTTGTGATGTGTGCATTCATTTCACTGAGTTAAAGCTTTCTTTGAGGTCAGCAGTTTGGAAACACTGTTTTTGTAGAATCTGCGAAAGGATATTTGATAGCTCTACGAGGCCATAGGTGAAAAACTGCAAATCCAAGGATAAAAACTAGAAGGAAGCTATCTGAGAAACCGCCTTGTGAAGTATGCTTTCATCTCACAGAGTTAAAACTTTCTTTTCATTCAGCAGTTTGGAAATTCTGTTTTTGTAGAATCTTGGAAGGGATGTTTGGGAGCTCATTGAGGCCAAATGCAAAAAAGGGAATATCCCAGGATAAAAAATAGACTTAAGCTATATCAGAAACTGCTTTGTGATGTATGCATTCATCTCGCAGAGTTAAACATTTTTTTTTCATTCAATAGTTTGGAAACACTGTTTTTTGTAGCATCTGTGAAGGGATATTTGTAAGCGCATTGAGACCTGTGATGAAAAAGGAAATATCTTCAGATAAAAACAGAAAGAAGCTTTCTGAGAAACTGCTTCATGATGTGAGCATTCATCTCACAGAGTTGAACATTTCTCTGGATTCATCAGTTTGGAAACACTGTTTTTGTCCAGTCTACGAATTGACATTTGTGAGCTCTTTGAAGCCAATAGCAAAAAAGCAAATATCCCAGCAGAAAAACCAAAAGAAAGCTACCTGAGTAACTGCTTTGTGATGTGTACATTCATCTCGCAGAGCAAAACCTTTCTTTTCATTCAGCAGTTTGGAAACACTGTTTTGGTAGAGTCTGCAAAGGGATACTTAGGAGTGCATTGAGGCCTATGGTGAAGAAGGAAATATTTTCAGATAAAAACTAGAAAGAAGCTTTCTGAGAAACTGCCTTGTGATGTGGGCATTCATTTCAGAGAGTTAATTTTTTCTTTCAATTCAGCAGTTTGTAAACACTTTTTTGAAGACTCTGTGAAGAGATATTTGATAGCTCAATGAGGCCATAGGTGAAAAAATGCAAATCCCAGGATAAATACTAAAAGGAATTTATCTGAGAATCCGTTTTGTGATGTGTGCATTCATCTTGCAGAGTTAAACATTACTTTTCATTTAGCACTTTGGAAACCATGTTTTTGTAGAATCTGCAAAGTGATATTTGGGAGTGCAATGAGGTCTATGGTGAAAAAGGAAATATCTTCAGATAAAAACTAGAAAGAAGCTTTCTGATAAACTGCTTTGTGATGTATGCATTCATCTCACAGACTTAAAATTTACTTTGGATTCAGCAGTTAGGAAACCCTGTTTTTGTCCATTCTGCAAATGGACATTTGGAGGCTCATTGAGGCCAAAGGCAGAAAAGCAAATATCCAAGGATGTAAACCAGAAGAAACCTATCAAAGAAACTGCTTTGTGATGTGTGCATTCATCTCGCAGAGTTCCACTTTTATTTTCATCCAGCAGTTTGGAACTGTTTTGGTAGAATGTGTGTATGAATATTTGGGGACACATTGACGCCTAAGGTGAAAAAGGAAATATGTTCAGATAAAACCTAGAAAGAAGCTTTATCAAAACTGCTTTGATATGTGTGCATACATATCACAGATTTAAAACTTCTTTGGAATCAGTAGCTTGGAGACACTTTGTATATTCTGCAAATGGATATTTTAGAGGTCATTTAGGTCAAAGGCAAGAAAGAGAATATCCCAGGATAAAAACTAGAAGTAGGTTATTTGAGAAACCGCTTTGTGATGTGTGCATTTTTCTCGCTGAGTTAAACCTTTCTTTTCATTCAGCAGTTTGGAAACACTGTTTTTGGTAGCAACTATGAAGGGATATTTGGGAGCACATTGAGCCTATGGTGAAAAAGGAAATATCTTCAGATAAAACCTAGAAAGAAACTTTCTGAGAAACTGCTTTATGATGACTGCATTTATCTCACAGAGTTAAACTTTCTTGGGATTCAGCAGTTTGGAAACAGTCTTTTTGTAAAATCTGAAAAGGGATATTTGGGACCTCATTGAAGCCAATGGAGATAAAGTGAATATCGCTGGATAAAAACTAGAAGTAATCTATTTGTGACACCACTTTAGGATGTGTGCATACACCTCACAGAGTTAAAACTTTCTTTTCATTCAGCAGTTTGGACACCCCGGTTTTGTAGAATCTGTGAAGGGATATTTGCAAGCTCATTGAGGCTTATGATGAAAAAAGAAATATGTTCAGTTAAAAACTAGAAAAGAGCTTTCTGAGAAACTGCTTTGTGATGTGTGCATTCATCTAACAGGGTTAAAATTTTCTTTAGTTCCAGCAGATTATAAACACAGTTTTTGTATATTCTGCAAAGGGTATTTGGGAGCTCACTGAAACCAAATATGAAAAAGCAATATCCCAGGAAAAAAACTAGAAGGAAACAATCAGAGACACTGCATTCTGATGTGTGCATATATCTAGCAGAGTTAAACATTTCTTTTTATTCAGCAGTATGAAAACTCTGTTTTTGTAGAATCTACAAAGGGATATTTTTTAGCACATGGAGGCCTGTGGGGAAAAGGAAATATCTTCAGGTAAAAACTAGAAAGAAGCTTTCTGAGAAACTGCTTTGTGATGTGTTCATTTATCTCACAGTTAAACCTTTCTTTTCATTAAGCAGTTTGGAATCACTCTTTTTGTAGAATCTCTGAAGGGATATTTGGGAGCATATTGAGGCCAATTGTGAGAAAGCAACTATCCCAGGTTAAAACTAGAAGGTATCTATGTGAGAAACAGCATTGGGATGTGTGCCTTCATCTCACAGCATTAAATTTTTCTTTTTATTCAGCAGTTTGTAGACACTGTTTGTTTCACTATGGTGAAAAAGAAAATATCTTCCAATACAAACTAGAAAGAAGGTTTCTGAGAAACTAATTTGTGATGTGTGCATTCAACTCACAGAGTTAAACCTTGCTTTGGAATCAGCAGTTTGGAAATACAGATTTGTTATATCTGTGAAGTGTTATTTGACAGCTCATTGAGGCAATAGGAGAAAAAGCAAATATATCAAGATGAAAAAACAGGAGGAAGCTATATAAAAAAGAGCTATGTGATTTCTGTATTCATCTCACAGAGTTAAAAGTTTCTCTTCATACAGAAGTTTGAAAACACTATTTTGGTAGAATCTGCGAAGGGATATTTGGAACTCCTTGAGGCCAGAATCGAAAAAGTGAATATCCCATGAAAAAAACTAAAAGGAAGATATATGAGAAATGGCTTTGTTATGTGTGCATACGTCTCTCATAGTTAAAATTTTCTTTTCAATGAAGAGTTTGGAAACACTGTTTTTGTAGAGTGTGTGAAGGCATATTTGGGAGTGCATTGAGGCCTGTGGTGAAAAGGAGATATCTTCAGATAAAAATTAGAAAGAAGCTTTCTGAGAAACTGCTTTGCAATGTGTACATTCATCTCAAAGTGTTAAACCTTTCTTTGGATTAAGCAGTTTGGAAACACTGTTTCTGTTCATTCTGCGAATGGACATTTGGGAACTCACTGAGGTCAATGGCAGAAAAGCAAATATACCAGGATAAAAGCTAGAAGAAATCTATCTGAGAAAGTGCTTGGTGATGTGTGCTTTCATCTCACAGAGTAAACATTTCTTTTCATTCAGTAGTTTGGAAGAAACGTGTTTGTCAAATCTGTGAAGAGATATTTGAGAGCATATTGAGGAAAACGGTAAAAAAGGAAATATCTTCAGATAAAAACTAGAAAGAAGCTTTCTGGGAAACTTCTTTTTGTGTGGGCATTCATCTAGCAGAGTGTAACTTTTCTTTCTATTCAGCAGTTTGGAAACACTGTTTTAGTAGAATCTGTGAATGGATATTTGAAAGCATATTAAGGTCTGTGGTTAAAAAGGAAATATCTTCAAATAAAACCTGCAAAGATTTCTGAGAAACTGTTTGTGATGTGTTCATTCACCTCACAGAGTTAAACCTTTCTTTGGATTAAATAGTTTGCAAACACTGTTTCTATCCATTCTGCAACTGGACATTTGGGAACTCATGGAGGCCAATGGCAAAAAAGCAAATATCCCAGGATAAAAACTAGAAGAAATCTATCAGATAAACTGCTTTGTGATGTGTTCATTTATCTAGCATATTTAAACCTTTCTTTTCATTCAGCAGTTTGGAAACACTGTTTCGGTAGAATCTGTGAAGGGATATTTGGGAGCTCATTGAGGCTTATGGCAAAAAAGGAAATACCTTCACATAAAAGCAAGAAAGAAGCTTTCTGAGAAACTGCTTTGGGGTGTGTGCAATCATTTCACAGAGATAAACCTTTCTTTGTGTTCAGCAGTTTGGAAACCTTGTTTTTGTCCATTCTCAGAATGGACAGTTTGGAGATCATTAAGGCCAAAGGTGAAAAAGCAAATATAACAGGATAAAAACTACAAGGAAGCATTCAGAGAAACCGCTTTGTGATGTGTGCATTCATCTCTCAGAGTTAAATATTTCATTTGATTCACCGGTGTGGAAACACTGTTTTGGTAGCAACTGTGAAGGGGTATTTGGGAGTGCATTGAGGCCTATGCTGAAAAAGGAAATATCTTCAAATAAAACCTAAAAAGAAGCTTTCTGAGAAAGAGATTTGTGATGCATGCATTCATCTCATAGAGTTAAGCATTTCTTTGAATTCAGGAGCATGGAAACTCTGTTTTTGTAGAATCTGCAATGGGATATTTGGGAGCTCATTTAGACCAAAAGTGAAAAAGCAAGTATCCCAGGATAAAATCGAGAAGGAAGCTATGTGAGAAAATACTTTGTGATGTGTGCATTCACCTCACACAGTTGAAACTTTCTTTTCATTCAGCTGTTTGGAAACAGTGATGTTGTAGAATCTGTGAAGGCATATTTGGGAGCTCATTGAGGCCAAAGTCCAAAAAGCAAATATCCCAGGATAAAAATTAGAAAGAAGCTATCTGAGAAATGATTTTTTGATGTGGGCATCCTTCTCTCTGAGTAAAAACTTTCTTTTCATTCACCAGTTTAGAAACACTGTTTTGGTAGAATCTGAGAAGGGATATTTGGGATCACCTTGAGGCCTAAGATGAAAATGAAATATCTTCAGATAAAAACTAGAAAGAACCTTTCTTAGAAATCGCTTTGTTATGTGTGCATTCTTCTCAGAGAGTTAAACATTTCTTTGGATTCAGCAATTTGGAAACACTGTTTTTTTAGGATCTTCAAAGATACATTTGGGAACTCCTTGAGTCCAAAGGCAAAAAAGCAAATATCACAGGATGAAAACTAGAAGGAAGATATCTGAGAAACCACTTTGTGATATGTGCTTTCATCCCAGAGAGTTAAACATTTCTTTTCATTCAGCAGTTTGGAAACACAGTTTTTGGTAAAATCTTCAAAGGGATATTTGAGCATGCTTTCAGGCCTATGTTGGAAAAGGAAATATCTTCAGATAAAAAGTAGAACGAAGCTTTCTGAGAAACTTATTTGAGATGTGTGTATTCACCTCACAGAGTTCAAACTTTGCTTTTCATTCAGCAGTTTGGAAACACTGTTTTTGTACAATCTGTGAAGGGATATTTGGGAGCATATTGAGGACTATGGTGAAAAAGGAAATATCTTCAGATTAAAACTAGAATAAGCTTTCTGGGACTGATTTGCGATGTGTGCATTCATCCAGAGTTAAAAGTATCTTTGGATTCAGCAGTTTGGAAACCCTGTTTTTGTAGAAAATGTGAAGGGCTATTTGATAGCTCATTGATGCCATAAGTGAAAAAGTGACTAAAAACTAAAAGGAAACTTTAGTTTCCTAAAAACTAAAAGGAAACTATCCGTGACTAAAAACTAAAAGGAAACTCTCTGAAAAACTGGTTGGTGATTTCTGCATCCATCACACAGAGTTAAACCTTTCGTTTCATTCAGTAGTTTGGAAACAGTGTTTCTGTAGAATGTGCTAAGGGATATTTGGAAGTGGTTTGTGTCATATGGTTAAAAAAGTCTTCAGATAAAAACGAGAAAGAAGTTTTCTGAGAAATCTCTTCTTGATAGGCATATTTATCTCACAGAGTTAAACCTTTCTTTTTAATTTAGCAGTTTGCAAACACTGTTTTTGTCCATTCTATGAAGGGCCATTTGGGAGCTCATTGAGGCCAATGGCAAAAAAAGAAATATCTTCAGATAAAAACTAGAAAGAAGATTTCTGAGAATAGCTTTGTGATGTGTGCATTCATCTCATAGAGTTAAACCTTTCTTTTTATTCAGCTGTTTGGAAACACTGTTTTAGTAGAATCTGTGAAGGGATATTTGGGAGTGCATTGAGACCTATGGTGAAAAAGGAAATAACTTCAGATAATAACTAGAAACAAACTTTCTGAGGAACTGCTTTGGGATGTGTGCATTCATCTCACAGAGTTAAACCTTTCTGTGGATTCAGCAGTTTGGAAACACTGTTTTTGTAGAATCTGCAAAGGGATATTTTGAGCTCTTGAGGCAAAATGTGAAAAAGAGAATATACCAGGATGAAAACTACAAGGAAGCTATCTAAGAAACCTCTTTGTGATGTGTGCATTCATCTTGCAGAATTAAAGCTTTCCTTTCAATCAGCCATTTGGAAACCCTATTTTGGTAGAATCTGCAAAGGGATATTTGGGAGTGCATTGAGGCCTTTGGTGAAAATGGAAATAAATTCAGCTAAAAACTAGAAAGAAGTATTCTGAGAAACTGCTTTGTGATGTGTGTATTCATCTAACACAGTTAATCATTTCTTTGGGCTTAGCAGTTTGGAAACAATGTTTTTGTCCATTCTGTGAAAGTACATTTGGGAGCTCATTGAGGTCAATGGTGAAAAAGTGAATACCACAGGATAAAAACTAGAAGGAATCTATCAGAGAAACCCCTTTGTGATTGTGCATTTATCTAGCATATTTATACGTTTATTTTCATTCAGCAGTTTGGAGCCCCTGTGTTGCTAAAATCTGTGAAGGATATTTGGGAGTGCTTTGAGGTGTATGGTGCAAAAGAAAATGTCTTCAGAAAAAATTAGAAAAAATGTTTTTTGAGAAACTGCTTTGTGGTGAGTGCATTTATCTCACAGAGTTTAACTTTTCATCGGATTCAGAAGTTTGGAAACACTGTTTTTTTCCCATATTGTGAATATTCCAGGATAAAAACGAGAAGGGAGCTGTCTGAGAAACTGGTTTGTGTTTTGTGCATTCATCTCGTAGACTTAAAACTTTCTTTTCTTTCAGCAGTTTGGAAACACTGTTGTGTATAATCTAGAAAGAGTTATTTCGGATTGCATTGAAGTCTATGGTGAAAAAAGAAGCATCTTCAGCCAAAAACTAGAAGAAAACTTTTGAGAAACTACTTTGTGATGAGTGCATTCATCTCACACTCTTAAGCCTTCCTTTGGATTCAGCAGTTTGGAAACACTGTTTTTGTCCATTCTGCAAATATCTCAGGATAAAAACTAGAAGGAATCTCTCTGAGAAACTGTTTTGTGATGTGTGCATTCATCTCACAGATTTAACCCATTCTTTTCATTCAGCAGTTTGTAAACACTTTTTTACAGAATTTTTGAGGGGACATTTGGGAGCACATTTATGCCAACTGAGAAAAAGGAAATATCTTCAGATAAAAATTAGAAATAAGCTTTCTGAAAAATTGCCTTGTGATATGTGCATTCATCTCACAGAGTTAAACCTTTCTTTGGATTCAGCAGTTTGGAAAAAGTGTTTTAGTTCATTCTGTGAATGGATATTTCGGAGCTTATTGAGGCCCATGGTGAAAAAGGGAACATCGAATGTTGAAAACTAGAAGGAAGCTCTCTTAGAAACTGCTTTACTTTGTATGCATTCATCTCACAGAGTTAAACCTTCTTTTCATTCAGCAGTTTGGAAACAATGATTTTGCAGAATCTGCGAAGGTATATTTGTGCATTGAGGCCTAGGGCAAAAAGCTAAATTTCTTCATATAAAAACTAGAAAGAAGTTTTCTGAGAAACTGCTTTGTGACTTGTGCACTCCACTCACAGAGTTAAAACTTTCTTTGGATTCAGAAATGTGGATACACTGCTTTTGTCCATTCTGTGAATGGAAATTTGGGAGCTCATTGAGGCCAATGCCAATAAAGTGAATATACCAGGGTACAAAGTAAAAGGAACCTATCTTAGAAACCGCTTTGTGATGTGTGCATTGACCTGACAGAGTTAAAATCTTCTTTTTTTTCCTCGAAGAACAGTTGTTTTAATAATTTTTCCTTTTTGATTTTTTTATTTTATTCTTCTTCTTCTTCTTCAAGTTTTAGGGTAAATGTGCACAATGTGCAGGTTTGTTACATATGTATACATGTGCCATTTTGGTGTGCTGCACCCATTAACTCCTCATTCAGCATTAGGTATATCTCCTAATGCTATCACTGCCCCCTCTCCCCACCCCACAACTGTCCCCAGACTGTGATGTTCCCCTTCCTGTGTCCATGTGTTCACACTGTTCAATTCCCACCTATGAGTGAGAACATGCGGTTTTTGGTTTTTTTGTCCTTGTGGTAGTTTGTTGAGAATTATGGTTTCCAGTTTCATCCAAGTCCCTACAAAGGACATGAACTCTTCAATTTTTATGGCTGCATAGTATTCCATTGTGTATATGTGCCATATATTCTTAACCCAGTCTATCATTGTTGGACATTTGGGTGGATTCCAAGTTTTGCTATTGTGAATTGTGCCACAATAAATATATGTGTGCATGTGTCTTTATAGAACCATGATTTACAATCCTTTGGGTACATACCCAGTAATGGGATGGCTGGGTCAAATGGTGTTTCTAGTTCTAGATCCCTGATGAATCACCATACTGACTTCCACAATGGTTGAACTAGTTTACAGTCCCACCAACGTGTAAAAGTGATCTTATTTCTCCACACTCTCTCCAGCACCTGTTGTATCCTGACTTTTTAATGATCAACATTCTAACTGCTGTGAGATGGTATCTCATTGTGGTTTTGATTTGCGTTTCTCTGATGGCCAGTGATGATGAATATTTTTTCATGTGTTTTCTGGCTGCATAAATGTCTTCCTTTGAGAAGTGTCTCTTCATATGCCTCACCCACTTTTTGATGTGGTTGTTTGTTTTTTTTTCTTGTAAATTTGATTGTGCTCATTGTAGATTCTAGATATTAGCCCTTTGTCAGATGAGTACGTTGTGAAAAAATTTTCTCCCATTTTATAGGTTGCCTGTTCATTCTGATGGTAGTTTCTTTTGCTGTGCAGAAGCTCTTTAGCTTCATTAGATTCCATTTGCAAATTTTGGCTTTTGTTGCCATTGCTTTTGGTGTTTTAGACATGAAGTCCTTGCCCATGCTTATGTCCTGAATGGTATTGCCTAGTTTTTCTTCTAGGGTTTTTATGGTTTTAGGTATAACGTTTAAGTCTTTAATCCATCTTGAATTAATTTTAGTATAAGGCATAATGAAGGGATCCATGTTCAGCTTTCTACATATGGCTAACCAGTTTTCCCAGCACCATTTATTAAATAGAGAATCCTTTCCCCATTGCTTGTTCTTGTCAGGTTTGTCAAAGATCAGATGGTTGCTGATATGTGGCATTATTTCTGAGGGCTGTGTTCTGTTCCATTGATCTATACCTCTGTATTGGTACCTAGGAAGAAACTGCATCAACTAACGAGCAAAATAACCAGCTAACATCATAATGACAGGACCAAATACACACATAAGAGTATTAACTTTAAATGTAAGTTGGCTAAATGCTCCAATTAGAAGACACAGACTGGCAAATTGGATAAAGAGTGAAGACCCATCAGTGTGCTGCATTCAGGAAACCCATCTCACATACAGAGAAACATATAGGCTCAAAATAAAGGGATGGAGAACGATCTACCAAGCAAATGGAAAACAAAAAAGGCAGGGGTTGCAATCCTAGTCTCTCATAAAACAAACTTTAAACCAACAAAGATCAGAAGAGACAAAGAAGGCCATTACATAATGGTAAAGGGATCAATTCAACAAGAAGAGCTAACTATCCTAAATATATATGCACCCAATGCAGGAGCAACCAGATTCATAAACCAAGTCCTTAGAGACCTAGAAAGAGACTTAGACTCCCACACAATAATAACGAGAGACTTTAACACCCCACTGTCAACATAGACAGATCAATGAGACAGAAAGTTAACAAGGATACCCAGGAATTGAACTCAGCTCTGCACCAAGTGGACCTAATAGACATCTACAGAACTCTCCACCCCAAATCAACAGAATATACACTTTTTTCAGCACCACACCACACCTATTCTGAAATTGACCACATACTTGGAAGTAAAGCACTCATCAGCAAATGTAAAAGAATAGAAATTATAACAAACTGCCTCTCAGACCACAGTGCAATCAAACTATAACTCAGTACTAAGAAACTCACTCAAAACCACTCAACTACATGGAAACTGAACAACCTGCTCCTGAATGACCACTGGGTACATAACAAAATGAAGGCACAATAAAGATGTTCTTTGAAACCAACGAGAACAAAGACACAACATACAGTAATCTCTGGGATACATTCAAAGAAGTGTGTAGAGAGAAATTTATAGCACTAAATGCCCACAAGAGAAAGCAGGAAAGATTCAAAATTGACACTCTAACATCACAATTAAAAGAACTAGAAAAGCAAGAGCAAACACATTCAAAAGCTAGCAGAAGACAATACATAATTAAAATCAGAGCAGAACTGAAGGAAATAGAGACACAAAAAGCCGTTCAAAAAATTAATGAATCCAGGAACTGGTTTTTGAAAAGAGCAACAAAATTGACAGACCACTAAAAAGACTAATAAAGAAGAAAAGAGAGAAGAATCAAATAGATGCAATAAAAAATGATAAAGGGGATATCACCACCAACCCCACAGAAATACAAACTACCATCAGAGAATACTACAAACACCTCTATGCAAATAAATTAGAAAATCTAGAAGAAATGGATGAATTCCTCGACACATACACCCTCCCAAGGCTAAACCAGGAAGAAACTGAATCTCTGAGTAGACCAATAACAGGCTCTGAAATTGTGGCAATAATCAATAGCTTACCAACCAAAAAAAGTCCAGTATCAGATAGATTCACAGCCGAATTCTACCAGAGGTACAAGGAGGAACTGGTACCATTCCTTCTGAAACTATTCCAATCAACAGAAAAAGAGGCAAGCCTCCCTATCTCATTTTATGAGGCCAGCATCATCCTGATACCAAAGCCTGGCAGAGACACAACAACAAAAAAAGAGAATTTTAGACCAATATCCTTGATGAACATTGATGCAAAAATCCTCAATAAAATACTGGCAAACCGAATCCAGCTGCACATCAAAAAGCTTATCCACCATCATTAAGTGGGCTTCATCCCTGGGATGCAAGGCTGGTTCAATGTACGCAAATCAATAAATGTAATCCAGCATACAAACAGAACCAAAGACAAAAACCACATGATTATCTCAATAGATGCAGAAAAGGCCTTCGACAAAATTCAACAACCTTCATGCTAAAAACTCTCAATAAATTAGGTATTGATGGGACATATCTCAAAATAATAAGAACTGTCTATGACAAACTCACAGCCAATATCATCCTGAATGGGCAAAAACTGGAAGCATTCCCTTTGAAAACTGGCACAACACTGGGATGCCCTCTCACACCACTCCTATTCAACATAGTGTTGGAAGTTCTGGCCAGGACAATCAGGCAGGAGAAGGAAATATAGTTTATTCAATTAGCAAAAGAGGAATTCAGATTGCCCCTGTTTGCAGATGCCATGATTGTACATCTAGAAAACCCCATTGTCTCAGCCCAAAATCTCATTAAACTGATAAGCAACTTCAGCAAAGTCTCAGGATACAAAATCAATGTACAAAAATCACAAGCATTTTCATACACCAATAACAGACAAACAGAGAGCCAAACCACGAGTGAACTCCCATTCATAATTGCTTCAAAGAGAATAAAATACCTAGGAATCCGACTTACAAGGGATGTAAAGGACCTCTTCAAGGAGAACTACAAACCACTGCTCAATGAAATAAAAGAGGATACAAAGAAATGGAAGAACATTCCATGCTCATGGGTAGGAAGAATCAATATCGTGAAAATGGCCATACTGCCCAAGGTAATTTATAGATTCAATGCCATCCCCATCAAGCTACCAATGACTTTCTTGACTGAAATGGAAAAAACTACTTCAAATTTCATATGGAACCAAAAAAGACCCCGCTTCGCCAAGTCAATCCTAAGCCAAAAGAAGAAAGCCGGAGGCATCACGCTACCTGATTTCAAACTACTACAAGGCTACAGTAACCAACACTTACTTTACATTGAGCAGTTTGGAAACACTGCTTTTGTAGAATCTGTGAAGTTATATTTGGGAGTGCATTAAGGCCTACGTTGAAAAATTTAACATCTTCAGATTAAAACTAGAAAAAAAGCTTTCTGAGAAACTGCTTTGTGATGTGTGCATTCATCTCACAGACTTAAACTGTTCTTTGGATTCAGCAGATTGGAAACACTGTTTTTGTCCATTCTTGGAATGGACCTTGGGAGCTCATTGAGGCCAATGGCAAAAATTGAATATACCCATATGAAATACTAGAAGGAAGCTATTTGAGAAACAACTTTGTGATGTGTGCATTTATCTCAGAGTTAAAATTTTCTTTTCCTTCAGCAAGTTGGAAAGAATGTTTTTGTAGAATCTGCTAATGGATAATTGGTTTCACGTTAAGGCCTATGGTGAAAATGGAAACAAGTTCAGATAAAAACTAGAAAGAAGCTCTCTGAGAAACTACTTTGTGATTTATGCTTTCAACTCACAGAGTTAAACCTTTCTTTCATTCAGCCGTTTAGAAAAACTGATTTTGAAGAATCTGTGAAGGGATATTTCGGAGCACATTGAGACCTATTGTGAAAATCTAGACATCTTGAGATAAAAACAGGAAAGAAGCTTTCAGAGAAACTGCTTTTTAATGTGGGTATTCATCTCACAGAATAAAAACTTTCTTTGTATTCAGCTGTTTGGAAATACTGTTTTTGTCCATTCTGCAAATGGGCATTTGGGAGCTCATTGAGGAAAATGGCAAAAAAGTGAATATCCTAGAATAAAAAGGAGAAGGAACCTGTCTTGGAAGCCACTATGTGATGTGTACACTCATCTATCATAAGTAAACCTGTCTTTTCTTTCAGCAGTTTGAAACACTATCTTTGTAGAATGTTCGAAGGGATATTTGGGAGTGTATCAAGGCCTATGGTGAAAAAGAAAACATCTTCAGATAAATACTAGGAATAAACTTTGTGAGAAACTGCTTTGTGATGTCTGCATTCATCTTGCAGAGTTAAACATTTCCTTTCATTGAGCTGTTTGAAAACACTGTTTTTGTAGAATCTGCAAAGTTATATTTGGGAGTGCATTGAAGCCAATGGTAAAAAGGAAACATATTCAGATAAAAACTAGAAAGAATTTTCTGAGAAACTGCTCTGTGGTGTGTGTATTCATCTCACAGAGTTATACATTTCTTTGGATTCAGAGTTTGGAAACACTGTTTTGTCCATTCTGCGAATGGACATTTGTGAGGTAATTGAGGCCAACAGCGAAAAAGCAAATATCCCATGATAAAAACTAGAAGAAATCTATCCGAGAAACTGCTTTATGAAGCCCACTGAGACCTACGGAGAAAAACGATGTATCTTCAATGCTAGCAAGCATCTTTCTGAGAAACTACTTTGGGATTTGTGCATTCACCTCACAGAGTTAAACCTTTCTTTGGATTCAATAGTTTGGAACCACTGTTATTGTCCTTTCTGCAAATGGACTTTTGGGATATCCCTTATTCCAACTTAGAAAAGGGGAATATCTCAGGATGAAAACTAGAAAAACATATCAGAGAAACCACTTTGTGGTGTGTGCATTCATCTCCCAGTTAAATGTTTCCTTTCATTCAGCAGTTGGAAATACTCTTTTAGTAAAATCTGCAAATGGGTATTTGGGAGTTCATTGAGCCAAAGGTGAAAAAGTGAATATCTCAGGATAAAAACTAGAAGGAAGCTATCTGAGAAACCACTCTGTGATGTGTGCATTCACCTCACAGAGTTAACACTCTTTTTTCATTCAGCAGTCTGGAAACACTGTTTTGGCAGAATCCATAAAGGGTTATTTGGGAGTGCATTGAGGCCTATTGTGAAAAAGGAAATATCTTCAGATAAAAATAAGAAAGAAGCTTTCTGAGAAACTGCTTTGTGATGTGTGCATTCATCTCCCAGAGTTAAACCATTTTTTGGAGTGAACAGTTTGGAAACACTGTTGGTGTAGAATCTGCAAAGGGATATTTCAGATCTCATTGATGCCAAAGGCAAAAAATCAAATATCACAGGAAAAAAATTTAGAAAGAAGTTATCTGAGAAACTGCTTTGTGATGTGTACATTCATCTGTCAGAATTAAACCTTTCTTTACATTCAGCATTTTAGAAACACAGTTTTTGTAGAAACTGTGAAGTTATTTTTGGAAGTGCATTGAGTTTTATGTTGACAAAAGAAATATCTTCAGATAAAAACTAGAAAAAGCTTTCTGAGAAACTGCTGTGTGATGTATGCATTCATCTCAAAGAGTTAAACCATCTTTGGATTCAGCAGTTTGGAAACACTGTTTTTTGTCCTTTCTGCGAATGGACATTTTGGAACTCGTTGAGGCCAATGGCAAAAAAGTGATTATCCCAGGATGAAAACTAGAGAAAACCTCTCTGAGAAACCACTTTGTGATGTGTTTATTCACCCTGCAGAGTTAATCTTCTCTTTTCATTCAGCAGTCTGGAAACACTGTTTTGGCAGAATCTGTGAAGTGATATTTGGGAGCACATTGAGGCTTATGGTGATAAAGGAAATATCTTCAGATAAAAACTAGAAAGATGCTTTCTGAGAAACTGCTTTGTGATGTGTGTGTTTATCTCATATAGACTTCAACTTTTTTGTGGATTAAGCAGTTTGGAAATGGTGTTTCCAAAACAGTGTTTCAAAGCTGCTGAATGAAAAGAAAGTTTTAACCTTGAGAGATGAAGGCACACATGACACAGAGGTTTCTCAGATAGCTTTCTTCTTGTTTTGAGGCTATCATATTCACTTTTTTGCTTTTGCCCTCAATGAGCTCCCAAATATCCCACAACAGTGTTTCCAAACTGGTGAACACAAAGAAATGTTTAACTCTGTGAAACAAATGCACACACCCAAAGCAGTTTCTCAGAAAGCTTCTATCTAGTTTTCCTCTAAAGACATTTCCTTTTTCACCACAGGCCTCAAAGCACCCACATATATCCCTTCACAGATTTTTAAAAACCAGTGTTTGCAAACTGCTGAATGAAAAACAAGTTTAACCATGTGAAAAAAATCCACACATCACAAAGCACTTTGTCAGATATATTTCTTCTAAATATTTTCCTGGGATATTTGGTTTTCACCATTGGTTTCAATGAGCTCCCAAAAGTCCATTCATAGAATGGACAAAAACAGTGTTTCCAAACTGCTGAATTCAAAGAAAGTTTAACTTTGTCAAATGAATGTAAAAATCACAAAGCACTTTCTCAGAAAGCTTCTTTCTAGTTTTCAACTGAAGATATTTTCTTTTTCACCAGAGGCCTCAATATATGCCCAAATATTCCTTCACGGATTCTACAAAAACGGTGTTTCCAAAATGCTGAATGAAAAGAAACGTTTAACTTTGTGAGATGAATGAAAGCATCACAAAGCAGTTTCTCAGAGAGCTTCCTTCTAGTTTTTATCCTGGCACATTCACTTTTTCACCTTTGGCCTCAATGACCTCAGAAATTCCCTTTGCAGATTCTACAAAAACAGTATTTCCAAACTGCTGAATCCAAAGAAAGTTTTAACTCTGTGAGATGAATTCACACATGTCAAAGTAGTTTCTCAGAAAGCTTCTTTCTAGTTTTTATCTGAAGATATTTCCTTTACACCATAGGCCTCAATGCACTCCCAAATATCCCTTCGCAGATTCTATAACAACAGTGTTTCCTAACTGCAGGATGAAAAGAAATGTTTAACTCTGTGAGATGAATTTACACATCACAAAGTTGTTTCTCAGAGAGCTTCCTTCTAGTTTTTATCCTGGATTATTCACTTTTTCGATATAGCCTTCAAAGATCTCTCAAAAGTCCATTCACAGAAAGGACAAAAAAGTGTTTCCAAACTGCTGAATCCAAAGAAAGTTTCAACTCTGTGAGATGAAAGCAAAAATCACAAAGCAGTTTCTCAGAAAGCTTCTTTCAAGTTTTTACCGGAAGATACTTCCTTTTTCTCCATAGGCCTCACTGGGCTCACAAACAGCCTTTTGCAGATTCTAGAAAAACAGTGTTTGCAAACCGCTGAATGAAAGGTAATGTTTAACTCTGAGAGATGAATACACACATAACAAAGCAGTTTCTCAGAGATTCCTTCTAGTTCTCATTGCAGGATATTAGCTTTTTTACATTTGGCCTCAATGAACTCCGAAATATCCCTTCACAGTTTCTCAAAAAATCAGTGTTTCCAAACTGCTGAATCTAAAGAAAGTTTTAAGTTTGTGAGATGAATGCACAAATCACAATGTAATTTCTCAGAAAGCTTCTTTCTAGTTTTTAACTGAAGATATTTCCTGTTTCAAAATAGGCATCAATTTGCACAGAGATATGGTTTACAGATTCTACAAAAACAGTGCTTCCAAACTCCTGAATAAAAAGAAAGGTTTAACTTTGTGAGACAAATGCAAACATCACAAAGCAGTTTCTGAAATAGCTTCCTTCTAGTTTTGATCCTGGGATATTCACTTTTGCACCATTGGCCTCAATGAGTTCCCAAATTTCCATTCACAGAAGGGACAAAAACAGTGTTCCTAAACTGCTGATTTCAAAGAAATATTTAACTCTGTGAGATGAATGCAGACATCACAAAGCAGTTTATCAGAAAGCTTCCTTGTAGATTTTATCTCAAGGTACTTCCATTTTCACCTTAGTCCTCAGTGAGCTCCCAAATACCCCATTGCAGATTCTATGAAAACAGTGTTTCCAAACTACCAAATGAAAAGACAGGATTAACTCTGTGAGATGAATGTACACATAAGCAAGCGGTTTCTCAGATAGATTCCTTCTAATTTTTGTCTTGCGATATTCACTTTTTCACCTTTAGCCTCAATGAGCTCCCAAATATCCCTTCACAGATTGTACAAAAACAGTGTTTCCAAACTGCTGAATGCAAAAAATGGTTGACCTCTGTGAGATGAATGCACACGTCACAAAGAACTTTCTCAGAGAGCTTCTTTCTAGTTTTTATCTGAAGATTTTCCTTTTTCACCATTGGCCTCAATGGTCTCCCAAATATACTTTTGCAGACTCTATCAAACAGTGTTTCCAAACTGCTGATTGAAAAGAAACGTTTTCCTCTATGAGATGAATGCTCACATCAGAAAGTGGTTTCTCAGATAGCTTCCTTCTAGTTTTATTTCTTGGATATTCACTTTTTCTCCATTGGCCTCAATCACCTCCCAAATGTCCAATCACAGAACGGACAAAAACCATTTCCAAACAGCCAAATCAAAAGAAAGATTGAGCTGTGTGAGATTAATGTGCACTTCATAAAGTAGATTCTTAGAAAGGTTTTTTTCTTATTTTTATCTGAAGATACTTCCTTTTTCACCATAGGCCTCAATGCGCTCCCAAATATAAATTTGCAGATTCTATCTAAACTGTGTTTCCAAACTGATGAATGAAAAATAAGGTTAAACTCTACTCGAATATTGCACACTTCACTAAGTGGTTTCTCAGATAGCTTATTTCTAGTTTTTTATAGAGATAATCACTTTTTCACCATTGACCTCAATGAGCTCCCAAATGTTCATTCACAGAATGGACAAAAACATTGTTTCTATACAGCTGAATACAAAGAAAGGTTTAACTCTGTGTGACGAATGCACACATCACAAAGAAGTTTCTCAGAAAGATTCTTTCTGATTTTTATCTCAAGAGATTTGCTTTTTCACCATAAGCATCAATAGGCTCCCAAATACCCCTTCATGGATTTTACAATACAGTGTTTTCAACCTGACGAATGAAAAGAAAGTTTAACTCTGTGAGATGAATACACACATAACCAAGCAGTTTCTCAGATAGCTTCCTTCTAGTTTTTATCCTGGGATATTCGCTTTTTTGCCCTTGGCCTCAATGAGCTCCCAAATACCTCTTCACAAATTCTACAAAATCAGTGTTTCCATAGTGCTGAACCCAAAGAAATGTTTAACTCTGTGAGATGAATGTACACATCACCAAGCAGTTTCTCAGAAAGATTCTTTGTTGTTTTTTACTGGAATTATTTTCTTTTTCACCATAGGCCTCAATGCACCCCCCAATATCCCCTTGCAGATTATACAAAAACAGTGTTTTGAAACTGCTGAATGAAAAGGAAGCTTTACTTCGGCGAGATGAATGCACACATCACAATGCAGTTTCTCAGATATGTTCCTTCTAGTTTTTATCCTGGGATATTCACTTTTTCACCACAGGCCTCTATGTGCTGCTAAATTTCCATTTGTAGAATGGACAGAAACAGTGTTTCCAAAATGCTGTATCTAAAAAAATGTTTAACTCTGTGACATGAAAGCACACATACCAAAGCAGTTACTCAGAATGCTTCTTTCTGGTATTTATATGAACTTACTTTCTTTTTCACCATAAGACTCAATACATCCCAAAATATCAATTCGCAGTTTCTGCCAAAGTGTGTTTCCAAACTGCTGTAAGAATAGAAACTTTTAACTATGCAAGATGAATGTACACTTCACAAAGTGGTGACTCACATAGCTTATTCTAGTTTTTACCCTGGGATACTGGATTTTTTGCCATTGCCACCAATGAGTTCCTGAAAATCCCCTTGCAGATTCTACAAAAACAGTGTTTCCAAACTACTGAATGGAAAGAAAGTCTTAAGTCTGTGAGATTAATGCACACATAGCAAAGTGGTTTCTCAGATAGCTTCCTTATAGTTTTTATTTTGGGATATTCACTTTTTCGCCTTTGGCCTCAATGAGCTCACAAATATCCCTTTGCAGATTCTACAAAAACAGTGTTTCCAAAGTGCTGAATCCAAAGAAATCTTTAACCCAGTGAGATGAATGCACACAGCACAAAGCAGTTTCTGACAGCTTCTATCTAGTTTTCATCTGAAGATATTATATTTTTCACCACAGGCCTCCAAGCACTTCCATATATCTCTTCGCAGATTTTAAAAAATTGTGTTTCCAAGCCGCTTGTTTCTAACAAGCAGTTTGTCAGATTTCTTCTACATTTTATCCTGAGACATTCCCTTTTTTGCTATTAGTATAAATGAGCTCCCAAATGTCCATTCGCAGAATGGACAAAAACAGTGTTTCCAACATGCTGAATCAAAGAAAGTTATAACTTTGTGAGATGAATGCACAAATCACAAAGCAGTTTCTCAAAAAGCTTCTTTCTAGTTGTTAACTGAGGATATTTTCTTTTTCAGCATAGGCCTCAATGCACGCCCAAATATTTCTTCACAGATTCTACAAAAACAGTGTTTCCAAAATACTGAATGAAAAGAAATGTTTAAATTTGCAAAATGAATGAAAGCATCACAAACCAGTTTCACAGATAATTTTCTTCTAGTTTTTATCCTGGCATATTCACTTTTTCTCCATTGACCTCAATGAGATTACAAATGCCTTTCACAGATTCTACAAAAGCAGAGTTTCCAAACTGCTGAATTAAAAGAGAGATTACACACTGTGATATGAATGCACACATCACAAAGAAGTTTCTCAGAAAGCTTCTTTCTAGTTTTTATCTGAAGATATTTCCTTTTTCACCATAGGTCACAATGTGCTCCCAAATATCCCTTCACAGATTCTAAAAAAAAACAGTGTTTCCAAACTGCTGAATGAAAAGAAAGGTTTAAACCTGTGAGATGAATGCACACATCACAAAGTGGTTTCTCAGATAGTTTCCTTCTGGTTTTTATCCTTGGATATTCACTTTTTCACTTTTGGTTTCAATGAGCTCCCAAATGTCCATTTGCAGAATGGACAAAAACAGTGTTTCCAAACAACTGTTTTTGGAATTCAAAGAAAGGTTTCATTCTGTGAGACGAATGCACACATCAAAAAGCAGTTTCACAGACAGCTTCTTTCTAGTTTTTATGTGAAGATATTTATTTTTCACCATAGACCTCAAAGCCCTTCCATTATCCCCTTGCAGATTCAACAAAAATAGTGTTTCCAAATAACTGAAGGAAAAAAAAGGTTTACTTCTGTGAGGTGAATGCACACATCACAAATCCGTTTCTCAGATAGCTTCCTTCTAGTTTTTATCCTGGGATATTTGCTTTTTTGTCATTGGCCTCAATGAGCTCCGAAATGTCCATTCACAGAATGGACAAAAACTGTGTTTCCTAACTGTTGAATTAAAAGAAATGTTTAACACTGTGAGATGAATGCACACATTGGAAAGCAGTTTCTCACAAAGCTTGTTTCTGGTTTTGTATCTGATGATATTTAGCACTCCGAAATATCCTTTGTCATATTCTAAAAAACAAGGTTTCCAAAGTTCTGAAAGAAAACATAGGTTAAACTCTGTGAGGTGAATGCACACATCACAAAGTGGATTCTCAGATAGCTTTCTTCTTGTTTTTTTCTTTGACTCTTCTCTTTTTCTTGATTGGCCTCAATGAGCTATCAAGTATCCCTTTGAAAATTTTAGAAAAACTGTGTTTCCAAACTCTTGAATCCAAAGAAAAGTTTAACTCTGTAAGATGAATGCCTACCTCACAAAGCAGTTTCTCAGATTGCTTCTTTCTAGTTTTTCTCTGACGATACTTAGTTTTCCACCACAGGCCTGAATGCACTCCAAAATATCCTTCCACATATTCTCCCAAAACAGTATTTCCAAACTACTGAATGAAAAGAAAGTTTTAACTCTGAGAGATGAATCCACATGTCACAAAGTGGTTTCTCAGATAACTTCCTTCTAGTTTTTATCATGGGATATTCAGTTTTTTGCCCTTGGGCAAAATGTGCTCCCAAATATCCCTTCACAGATTCTACAAAACAGTGTTAACAAACTGCTGAGTGAGAAGAAAGGTTTATCTCTTTGAGATGAATGCATACATTGCAAATCGGTTTCTCAGATAACTTCCTTCTAGTTTTTAACCTGAGATATTCGGTTTTCACCATTGTTCTCAGTGAGCTCCCAGAAGTCCATTTGCAGAATGGACAAAAACAGTGTTTCCAAACTGCTGAATTCAAAGAAAGTTTAACTCTGTGACATAAATGCACACATCACAGAGTAGTTTCTCAGAAAATTTCTTCCTAGTTTTTACATGAATATATTTCCTTTTTAACAGTAGGACTCAATGTGGTCCCATATATCCCTTCTCAGTTTCTACCAAAACAGTGTTTACAAACTCGTGAATGAAAAGGAAGTTTTAACTCTGTGGGATGAATGCACACATCACAAATCAGTCTCTCAGATTGCTTTGTTCTAATTTTTATCCTGGGATATTCACTTTTTTCACCTTCGGCATCAATGAACTCCCAAATATCTCTTTGCGGATTCCACAGAAACAGTGTTTCTAAACTGCTGAATCCAAAGAGAGATTTAGCTCTGTAAGATGAATGCACACTTCACAAAGCAGTTTCTCAGAAAACTTCTTTCTAGTTTTTAGCTGAAGATATTTCCTTTTTCACCACTGGCCTCAATGCACTCCCAAATATCCCTTTGTAGATTCTGCCAAAAGAGTGTTTTCAAACTACTGAATGAAAAGAAAGGTTTAATTATCTGATATGAATCCACATATCATGAAATGATTTCTCATATAGCTTCCTTCTAGTTTTAATCATGGCATATTTTATTATTCCCCTTTGGCCTCAATGTGCTCCCAAATACTCCTTCGCAGATTCTTCCAAAGCAGTGTTTCCAAACTGCTTAATGAAAGAAAGGTTTATCTCTGTGATATTAATACACACATTCAAAGTGGATTATCAGATAGCATCCTTCTAGTTTTTATCCTGGGATATTCTCTTTTTTCCATTGGACCCATTGAGCTCCCAAACGTCCACTTCCAGAATGGACAAAAACAGAGTTTCCAAATAGATGAATTCAAAGAAAAGTTTAACCCTGAGAGATGAATGCACACATCACAGAGCAGTTTCTCAGAAAGCTTCTTCCTAGTTTTTATCTGAAGATATTTCCTCTTTTACCATAAGCCTCAATGCTCTCCCATATATCCCCTCACAGATTCTACCAAAACAGCCTATGCAATCTGAAGAATGAAAAGAAAGGTTTAATTCGGTGACATGAATGCGCACATCACAAAGCGGCTTCTCAGATAGCTTCCTTCTAGTTTTTATCATGGGATATTCACTTTTTCGCATTTGGCCTCAATGAGCTGCAAAACATCCCTTCACATATTCTACAAAAACAGTGTTTCCAAACTGCTGAATCCAAATAAAGATTTAACTCTGTGAGATGAATGCACACATCACAAAACAGTTTCTCAGAAAGCTTCTTCCTAGTTCTTATCTAAAGATATTTGCTTTTTCACCATAGGCCTCAAAGTGCTCCCAAATATCCCTTCACAGATTGTACCAAAACAGTATTTTCAAACTGTTGAATGAAAAGAAAGTTTTAAATCTGTGAGATTAATGCATACATCACAAAGCGGTTTATCAGATGGCTTCCTTCTATTTTTTATCCTGGCTTATTTGCCTTTTTGGGTTTGGCCTCATGAGCTCCAAAGCATCCTTTCACACATTCTACAAAAACAGTGTTTCCATACTGCTGAATCCAAAGAAATGTTTAGCCCTGTGAGATGAATGCACACATCACAAAGCAGTTTCTCAGAAAGCTTCTCTGAAGTTTTTATCTGAAGATATTTCCTTTTTCACCAAAGGCCTAAATACGCTCCCAAATATCCCTTTGCAGATTCGCCAAAAACAGTGTTTCCAAACAGCTGAATGAAAAGAAATGTTTATATCTGTGAGATGAATGCACACATCACATAGGGTTTTCTCTGATAGTTTCATTCCAGTTTTTATCCTGGGATATTCACTTTTTCACCTTTGGCCTCAATGAGCTCCCAAATAGCCCTTTGCAGATTCTTCAAAAACAGTGTTTCGAAACTGCAGAATGAAAAGAAAAGTTTAACTTTCTGAAATGAATGCACCCATTGCAAAGCAGTTTCTCAGATAGCTTCCTTCCAGGTTTTTTTCTTGGGATGTTCTCTTTTTTCCCATTGGCCTCAGTGAGCTCCCAAATGCCCAGTCACAGAATGGACAAAAGCAGGGTTTGTGAAGTTCTGAATGGAAAGAAATGTTTAACTCTATGAGGTGAATGCACACATCACAAAGAAGTTTCTCAGAAAGACTCTTTAGGGTTTTTATCTGGAGATATTTCCTTTTTCACCATAGGCCACAATGAGCTCCCAAATACGCCTTTGCAAATTCTTCTAAAGCAGGGTTTCCAAAAGGCTGAATGAAAAAGAAAGTTTTACATCTGTGAGATAAATGCACACCTCACAAAGTGGTTACTCAGATAGCTTCCATCTAGTTTTTATCCTGGGATGCTCACTTTTTCACTTTGGCCTCAATGAGTTCCCAAAAATCATTTGCAGATACTACAAAAACAGTGTTTCCAAACTGCTGAATCAAAAGAAATATTGACCCCTGTGAGATGAACGCACACATCAGAAAATAGGTTCTCGGAAAGCTTCCTTCTAGTTTTTATCTGAATATATTTCCTTTTTCACCATAGACCTCAATGCGCTCCAAAATATACCTTGAGATATTCTACCAAAACAGTGCTTCCAAACTGCTGAATGAATAGGACATTTTACCTCAGTGAGATTAATGCACACATCACAAAGCAGTTTCTCACATAGCTTTATTCTACTTTTTAACCTGGGAAATTTGCTTTTTAGTCATTAGCCTCAATGAACTGCCTGATGTCCATTCTCAGAATGGAGAAGAACAGTGTTTCCAAATGGCTGAATCTAAAGAAATGTTTAACACTAAGAGATGAGTGCACATATTGCAAAACAGTTTCTGAGAAAGCTTCTTTCTTGTTTTTATCTGAGGATATTTCTTTTTTCACCATAGGCCTCAATGCACTCCCAAATAGCCCTTTGCAGTTTCTACCAAGACATGTTTTCCAAATGGATTCCTCAGGGATCTAGAACTAGAAATATCATTTGACCCAGCATTCCCATTACTGGGTATATGCCCAAAGGATTATAAATCATGCTTCTGTAAAGACTCACACAATCATATGTTTATTGTGGCACTATTCACAATAACAGAGACTTGGAACCAACTCAAATGTGCAACAATGATAGACTGGATTAAGAAAATGTGGCACATATACACCATGGAGTGCTATGCAGCCATAAAAAATGATGAGTTCATGTCCTTTGTAGGGACATGGATGAAGCTGGAAGCCATCATGCTCAGCAAACTATCACAAGGACAAAAAACCAAACACCACATGTTCTTACTCATAGGTGGGAATTGAACAATGAGAACACATGGACACATGAAGGGGAACATCACACACCAGGGTCTGTTGTGGAGTGGGGGGAAGGGGGAGGGATAACATTATGAGACCTACCTAATGTTAAATGAAGATTTGATGGGTGCAGCGCACCAACATGGCACATGTGTACATATGTAACAAAACTGCACATTGTGCACATGTACCCTAAAACTTAAAGTATAATAATAAAAAAATCAAACCACCTCATCAAAAAGTAGATGAAGTATATGAACAGACACCTCTCAAAAGAAAACATTTATGCAGCCAAAAGACACATAAAAAAATGCTCCTCATCTCTGGTCATCAGAGAAATGCAAATCAAAACCACAATGACATACCATCTCACACCAGTTAGAATGGCAATCATTATAATGTCAGGAAACAATAGGTGCTGGAGAGGATGTGGAGAAACAGGAACACTTTTACACTGTTGGTAGGACTGTAAACTAGTTCAACCACTGTGGAAGACAGTGTGGCGATTCCTCAAGGATCTAGAAATAGAAATACCATTTGAGCCAGTCATCCCATTACTGGGTATGTACTCAAATGTTTATAAATCATGCTGCTATCAAGACACATGCACACATATGTTTACTGTGGCACTATTCACAATAGCAAAGACTTAGAACCAACCCAAATGTCCATCAATGATAGGCTGGATTAAGAAAATGTGACACATATACACCACAGAATACTATGCAGCCATGAAAAATGATGAATTCATGTCCTTTGTAGGAACATGGATGATGCTGGAAACCATCATTCTGAGCAAACTATCACAAGGACAGAAAACCCAACACCACATGTTCTCATTCACAGGTGGGAATTGAACAATGAGAACACTTGGACACAGGGTGGAGAACATCACAAACCAGGGCCTGCTGTAGGGTCAGGGGAGGGGGGAGGGATAGTATTAGGAGATATACCTAATGTTAAATGATGAGTTAATGGGTGCAGCATACCAACATGGCACATGTATACATATGTAAGAAAACTGCACATTGTGCACATGTGCCCTAGAACTTACAGTATAATGAAAAAAAGAAAAGAAACTTTCAACTATGCTAGAGAAATCCCCACGTCACAAAGTTGTTTCTCAGATAGGTCTCATCCAATTTTTATCCTGTGATATTCACTTTTTCACCATTGGCCAAATGCTCTCCCAAATATCCCTTCTCAGATTTTACCAAAATGGTGTTTCCAAACTACTGACTGAAAAGAAAGTTTTAGCTCTGAGAGATGAATGCACATATCACAAAGTGGTTTCTCAGATAACTTCCTTCTAGTTTTTATCCTGGTATACATGCTTTTTCACCATTGGCCTCAATAAGCTCCAAAAGGTCCCTTTGCAAAATGGACAAAACAGTGTTTCCAAACTGCTGACTTGAAAGACACTTTTAACTCTGTGAGATGAATGTGCATATCACAGAGCAGTTTCATAGAAACCTTCTTTCTACTTTTTATCTGAGGATATTTCCATTTTCACCATAGGCCTCAATGCGCTCCCAAATAGCCCTTTGCAGATTATACCAAAACAGTGTTTACACTGTGGAATGAAAACAAAGGTTTAACTCTGAGAGATGAAAGCACATATCACAAAGCGGTTTCTCGGATAGCTTCCTTCCAGTTTTTAACCTGAGATATTCACTTTTTCACCTTACCTCAATGAAGTTCTAAATATTCCCTCAGAGATTCTACAAAAATAGTGTTTCACAACTGCTGAAACCAAAGAAAGGTTTAACTGTGTGAGATGAATGCACACATCACAAAGCAGTTTATCCGAAAGTTTCTTTCTAGTTTTTATCTGAAGCTATTTCCTTTAACACCATAGGCCTCAATGCACTCACAAATATCCCTTCACATATTCTACCAAAATAGTGTTTCCAAACTACTGAATGAAAAGAAAGGTATAATTCTCTGAGAAGAAGGCACACATCAGAAAGAAGTTTTTTCAGATAACTTACTTCTAGTTTTAATCCTGGGATATTTCCTTTTTCGTCATTGGCCTCAATGAACTCCCAAATGTCCATTCACAGAAAGGACAAAAGCAGAGTTTCCAAAGCACTGAATCCAAGAAATGTTTAACTCTGTGAGATGAATGCACACATCACAAAGCAGTTTCTCAGAAAACTTCTTTCTAGTTCTTATCTGAAGATAATTCCTTTAACTCCATATGCCTCAATGTGTTCCAAAATATTCCCTCGCATATTCTAACAAAACAGTGTGTCCAAACAGCTGAATGAATAGAAAGGTATAACTCTACGAGATGAAGGCATACTTCACAAAGCAGTTTTTTAGATAGCATCCTTCCAGTTTTTATCCTGGGATATTTCCTTTTTTGCCATTGGCCTCAAAGAGCTCCCAAATATCCTATTGCACACTTTACAAAAACAGTGATTCCAAATTGCTGAATCCAAAGAAAGGTATTAACAGTGAGGTGAATGGACACATCAAAAAGCAGTTTCTCAGAGATCTTCTTTCTAGTTTTTATCTGAAGATATTTCCTATTTCACTGTAGGCCTCAATTCACTCCCAAATATCCCTTTGTAGATTGTATCAAAAATGTTTCCAAACTGCTGAATGAAAAGAAAAGCTGAACTCTGTGAGATCAATCTACAACTCACAAAGCAGTTTCTCAGAAAGCTTCTTTCTAGTTTTTTTCTGAAGACATTTCCTTTTTCACCATAGGCCTCAATGTGCTCCCAAATGTCCTTTTGCAGTTGCTACCAAAACACATTGTCTAAACTGCTAAATGAAAAGAAGATTTTAATTCTGCAAGATGAATGCACACGTAACAAAGCAGTTTCTAGGATAGCTTCCTTCTAGTTTTTGTTGTGGGATATTCACTTTTTCAAATATGGCCTCAATGATCTATCAAATATCTTTTCACAGATACAACAAAAATAGTGTTTCCAAACTGCTGAATCCCAAAAAAGTTTTAACTCTGTGAGATGAATGCACACATCACAAAGCAGTTTCTTAGAAAGCTTCTTTCTAGTTTTTTCTGAAGATATTTCCTTTTTCACCATAGGCCTCAAAGGACTCCCAAATATCCCTTCGCAGTTGCTACCAAAACACTTTTTCGAAACTTCTGAATGAAAATAAGAGTTTAAATTTGTGAGGTGAATGCACACATAACATAGCAGTTTCTCAGATAGCTTCCTTCTAGTATTTATCCTGGGATATTCACTTTTTCAGCTCTGGTCTCAATGAGCTATCAAATATCCTTTTGCAGGTGCTACAAAAACAGTGTTTCCAAACTGATGAATCCCAAGAAAAGTTTAACTCTGTGAGATGAATGCACACATCGCAAAGCAATTTTGCAGAAAGCTTCTTTCTAGTTTTTATATGAAGATATTTCCTTTTTCATCATAGGACTCAATGCGTTCCCAAATATCCCTTGGCAGATACTACAAAAACAGTGTTTCCAAACTGCTGAATGAAAAGAAAGGTTTAACTCTGTGAGATAAATGTACACATCACAAAGGGGTTTCTCAGATAGCTTCCTTCTACTTTTTATACTAGAATATTTACTTTTTCACCTTTGGCCTTAACGAGCTCCCAAATATCCCTTCACAGATTCTAAAAAAAAAAATAAAAAGCATTGTTTCCAAACTGCTGAATAAAAAGAAAGGCTTAAGTCTGCAAGATGAATGCATACGTCATGAAGCAGTTTCTCAGGTAGTTTTATTCTAGTTTTTATCGTGGGATATTCGCTTTTATGCCATTAGCCTTAATGTACTCCCATATGTCCATTTGTAGAATGGACAAAAACGGCTGAATCCAGTTTTTGCAAACTGCTGAATCCAAAGAAAAGTTTACATCTGTCAGATGAATGCACACATCACAAAGCAGTTTCTCAGAAAGCTTCTTTCTAGTTTTTATCTGAAGATATTTCCTTTTTCACCATGGGCCTCAATGTGATCCTAAATATTATTTCACAGATTCTCCAAAAACAGCATTTCCAAACTACCTAATGAAAGTCGTGGTTTAACTCTGTCAGAGGAATGCACATATCACAAAGCCAGTTCTCAAACAGCTTCTTTCTAGTTTTTATTTTGCAATATTTGCTTTTTTGCCATTAGTTTCAAGGAGCTCCCAAATGTCCATTCGCATAAGGGACAAAAACGTTTTTTCCAAACTGATGAATCCAAAGAAAAATTTAATTTTTTGAGATAAATTCACACATCATAAAGCAGTTTCTCTGAAAGCTTCTTTCTAGTTTTCATCTGAAGATATTTCCTTTTTCACCATAGGCATCAATGTAATCCCAAATATCCCTTCCCAGATTCTACCAAAACAGTGTTTCCAAACTACTGAATCAAAAGAAATGTTTATCTCTGTGAGATGAATGCACACGTCACAAAGTGGCCTCTCAGAAAGCTTCCTTCCAGTTTTTATCCTGGGATAGTCACTTTTTCACCTTTGGCCTCAATGAGCTCCCAACTACTCCTTCGCAGATTCTACAAAAACAGTGTTTCCAAACTGCTGAATCCAAAGAAAAGTTTAACTCTGAGAGATGAATGCACACATAAATAATCAGCTTGTCAGAAAGCTTCCTTGTAGTATGTATCTGAAGATGTTTCCTTGTTCACCCTAGGCCTCATTGAGCTCCCAAATATCCCTTCACAGATTCTAACAAAACAGTGTTACCAAACTACAGAATGAAAGGAATGGTTTATCTCTGTGAGATAAATGCATACATGACAAATCGGTTTCTCAGATAGCTGTCTTCTAGTTTTTATCCTTGTAAATTCACTTTTTTGCCATTGGCTTCAATGAGATATTAAATGTCAATTAACAGAATGGACAAAAACAGTGTATCCAAACTGCTGAATTCAAAGAAAATTTTAAATCTGAGGGATGAATTCATACATCACAAAGCAGTTTCTCAGAAAGCTTCTTTCTTGGTTTTATCCAAAGATATTTCTCTTTACACAATAGGCCTCAATGCACTCCAAAATATCCCTTCACAGATTCTACCAAAATCGTGTTTTGAAACTGCTGAATGAAAATCAATGTTTAACTCTGCGAAGTGAATGCACACATCAAAAAGAAGTTTCTCAGATAGCTTCATTCTAGTTTTTATCTGGGGATAAACACTTTTTCGACTATGGCCTCAATGAGCTCCAAAAATCCCTTCATGGATTTTACAAACACAGTGTTTTCAAGCTGCTGAATTCAAAGAAAGGTTTAACTCTATGAGATGAATGCATATATCAAAAAGTAGTGTCACAGAAAGCTTCTTTCTAGTATTTTTCTGAAGATATTACTTTTTCACCATAGGCCTCAATTCATTTCCAAATATCCCTTCACAGATTCTACCAAAACAGTGTTTCCAAAGTGCTGAATGGAATGAAAGTTTACCTCTGTGAGAAGAATGCACAAATCACAAAGTGGTTTCTCAGATACCTTCCTTCTAGCTTCTATGCTGGGTTATTTGCTTTTTTGCATTTAGCCTCAATGACCTATCAAATATCCCTTCACAGATACTACAAAAACAGTGTTTCCAAACTGCTGAATCCGAAGAAAAGTTTAACTCTGCAAGATGAATGCATACATCACAAAGGAGTTTCTCAGATAGTTTCCTTCTAGTTTTGATCCTGGGATATTCTCTCCTTTGCCTTTGGCCTCAATGAGCTCTCAAAAATCCCTGACAGATTATACAAAAACAGTGTTTCCAATCTGTTGAGTCCAACAAACACTTAACTCTGTAAGATGAATGCACACATCACAAGGCAGTTTCTGAGAAAGCTTCTTTCTGCTTTTATCTGAAGATATTTCCTTTTTCACCATAGGCCTCAATGTGCTCCTAAATATCCCTTCACAGAATCTACAAAACCGGTGTTTCCAAACTGCTGAATGAAAAGAAAGGTTTAACTATGCAAGATGTATGCATACATCACAAAGCAGTTTCTCAGATAGCTTCCATCTGGTTCTTATCCTGGGATATTCACTTTTCCACCATAGGCCTCAATGAACTCCCAAATGTCCATACGCAGAATGTACAAAAACAGTGTTTCCAAACTGCAGAATCCAAAGAAAGGTTTAACTCTGTGAGATGAACGCACACATCACAAAGCAGTTTCTCAGAAATCTTCTTTCAGTTTTTTACCTGAAGATATTTCCTTTTTCACCGTAGACTTCAATGCGCTCTGAAATATCCCTTTGTAGATACTACCAAATCAGTGTTTCCAAAGTGCTCAATGAAAAGAAATGTTTAACTGTGAGATGAATGCACACATCATAAAACAGCTTCTCAGATAGATTCCTTCTAGGTTTTATCCCGGGATATTCACTTTTTTGCCATTGGCCTCAATGAGATATAAAATTTGCCTTCCCAACTTTTACAAAAACGGTGTTTCCAAACTGCTAAATCCAAGGAATGCTTTATCTCTGTGAGATGAATGCACACATCACAAAGCGGTTTCTCAGAAAGCTTCTTTGTAGTTTTTATCTGAAGATATTTCCTTTTTCACCATAGGCCTCAATGCACTCCAACATATCCCTTTGCAGATTCCACAGAAACAATGTTTCCCATCTGCTGAATGAAGAGAAAGGTTTAACTATGTGAGATGTATGCATATATCACAAAGTGGTGTCTCAAATAACTTCCTTCTAGTTTTTATCTTGGGATATTTTGTTTTTCACCATTGGCCTCAATGAGCTCCCAAATATCCCTCCACAGATTCTACAGAAACAGTGTTTCCAAACTGCAGAATCCAAAGAATCGTTTAACTCTGTGAGATGAATGCACACATCACAAAGCAGTTTCTCAGAAAGCTCCTTTCTAGTTTTTATCTGAAGATATTTTCTTTTTTACCATAGGCCTCAATGCACTTCCAAATATCCCTTCCCAGATTCTGCCAAAACAGTGTTTCCCAATGGCTAAAGGAAAAAAGCAAGGTTCGCCTCTGTGAGATGAATGCATTCATCACAAAGCAGTTTCTCGCATATCTTTCTTCTCGTTTTAATCCTGGGATATTCGCTTTTTTGCCATTGGCCTCAATGAGCTCCCAAATGTCCATTCACAGAATAGACAAAAACAGTGATTCCAAACTGCTGAATCCAAAGAATGTTTTAACTCTGTGAGATGAATGAACACATCACACAGTAGTTTCTCAGAAAGCCTCTTCCTAGTTTTCTTCTGAAGATAATTTCTTTTTCACCATAGGCCTCAATGCACTCTGAAATATCCCTTTGCAGATTCTACAAAAACAGAGTTTCCAAACTGTTGAATGAAAAGATACATTTATCTCTCCAAGTTGTATGCACATGTAACAAAGCAGTGTCTCAGATAGCTTCTTTCTAGTTTTTATCCTGGGAAATTTGCTTTTTTACCATTGTTCTCAATGAACTCCCAAAATTCCATTTGCAGAATGGACAAAAACGTGTTTCCAAACTGCTGATTCCAGAGAATGGTTTAACTCTGTGAGATGAAGGCACACATCACAAAGCAGTTTCTCAGAAAGCTTCTTTCCAGTTTTTATATGAAGACATTTCCTTTTTCACCGTAGGCCTCAATGTGCTCCCAAATAGCCCTTAACAGATACAACCAAAACAGTGTTTACAAACTGTTGAATGAAAAGAGAGGTTAACTCTGTGAGATGAAAGCCCACATAACAAAGCAGCTTCTCAGATAGCATCCTTCCAGTTTTTATCCTGGGATATTTTCTTTTTCATCATTGGCCTGAAAGAGCTCCCAAATGTCCTTTCACAGAATGGAGAAAAACAGTGTTTCCAAACAGCTGAATCCAAAGAAATGTTTAATTCAGTGAGATGAATGCCCGCATCACAAAGTAGTTTCTTAGAAGGCTTCCTTCTAGTTTTTATCTGAAAATATTTCCTTTTTCACCTTAGGCCAGAATGGGCTCCCAAATATCCTTTCACAGATTCTGCAAAAACAGTGAATCCAGACTGCTGAATTAAAAGATAGGTTTAAGTCTGCGAGGTGAATGCACACATTACAAAGTGGCTTCTCAGACACCTTCCTTCTAGTTTTTATCTGAAGATGTTTCCTTTTTCACCATAGGTCTCAATGCGCTTCTAAATATCTCTTGGCAGATTCTATAAAAACAGTGTTTCCATCTACTGAAAGAAAATAAATGTTTAACACTGCGAGATGAATATACACATCACAGAGCGGTTTCTCGGATAGCTTCTTTCCAGTTTTAATCCTGGGATATTCACTTTTTGCCATATGCCCTCAATGAGCTATCTAAAATATCTTCGTAGATTCTACAAACACAGTGTTTCCAAACTGCCAATTCTGAAGAAAGGTTTAATTCTGTGAGAAGAATGCATACATCACAAAGCAGTTTCTCAGAAAGCTTCTCTTTACTTTTGATCTGAAGATATTGCCTGTTTCACCATAGGATTCAATGCGCTCCCAAATACCCCTTTACTTATTCTAACAAAACAGCGTTTCCAAACTGCTGAATGAAAGCAGAAGTTTAACTATGTGAGATGAATGCAAACATCATAAAGCAGTTTCTCAGATAGATTTCTTCTAGTTTTTATCATGGGATATTCCCTTTTTCATCATTGGCCTCAATTACCTCACAAATGTCCATTCGCAGAATGGACAAAAACAGTGTTTCCAAACTCCTGAATCCAAAGAAATGTTTAACACTGTGAGATGAGTGCTACATCAAAAAGCAGTTTCTCAGAATATTTCTTTCAATTTTTATCTGAAGATACTTCCTTTTTTAACATTGGCCTCAATGTGCTCCCAAATATCCCTTTGCAGACTCTACAAAAACAGTGTTTCCAAACTGCTGAATGAAAAGAAAGGTTTAACTCTGTGAGATGAATGCACACATCACAAAGCGGTTTTCCCAACAGATTTTTTCTCGTTTTTAACCTGGAATATTCACTTTTTTGCCTATTCCCTCACTTAGCTATGAAATACCCCTTAGCAGATTCTACAACAACAGTGTTTCCAAACTGCTGAATCCAAAGAAAGGTTTAATACTGTGAGATGAATGCACACATCACAAAGTAGTATATCAAAAACCTCTTTCTAGTTTTCATCTGAAATTTTTTCCTTCTTCAGCATAGGCCACAATGTGCTCCCAAATATTCCTTTGCAGTTTCTACCAAAAGAGTGTTTCCAAACTGCTGAATGAAAATAAAGCTTTACATCTGCATGATGAATGCTCATATCAAAAAGAGGTTCCTCAGATAGAATTTTCTAGTTTATAACCTGGAATACTCACTTTTTCACCATTGGCCTCAATGAGCTCTCAAATGTCCAATTGCAGAACGAACAAAAACAGTGTTTACAAACTGCTGAATCAAAGGAAATGTTTAACTATTTGAGATAAAACCACACATAACAAAGCAGTTTCACAGAAAGCTTCTTTCTAGTTTTTATATGGATATATTTCCTTTTTCACCATAGCCCTCAATGTACTCCCAAATATCCCTTTGCAGATTCTACCTAAATAGGATTTACAACATGCTGAATGAAAAGAAAACTGTAACTCTGTGAGATGAATGCATACATCACAATGCGGTTTCTCAGATAGCTTCTTTCTAGTTTTTATCCTGGGTTATTCCCTGTTTTGCCATTGGTCTCAATGAGCTCCCAAATATCCATTTGCAGAGGAACAAAAACAGTGTTTCCAAACTGCTCAACCAAAAGAAAGGTTTAACTGTTTGAGATGAAAGCACGTACAACAAAATAGTTTCTCAGAAAGCTTCTTTTGAGATTTTATCTGAAGATATTTCCTTTTTCACTATACGCCTCAAATGCTCCCAAATATCCCTCTGCAGACTCTACAAAAACAGTGTTTCCAAACTGCAGAATGAAAAATAACGTTTAACTCTGTGAGATGAAGGTACCCATCACAAAGCAGTTTCTCAGATAGCTTCCTTCTAGTTTTTATCCTGGGATATTTGCTTTTTTGCCTTTGGTCAAAATTTGCTCTCAAATATCCTGTTGCAGACTCTACAAAAACATTGCTTTGAAATTGCTGAATATAAAGAAAGGTTTACCTCTCTGAGATGAATGCACACATCACAAAGCAGTTTCTCACTAAGCTTCTTTCTAGTTTTTATCTCAAGATATTTCCTTTTTCAACTTAGGCCTCAATGCACTCCTAAATATTCCTTCACAGATTCTACCAAAACAGGGTTTCCAAACTGCTGAATGAAAAGAAAGGTTTAACTCTGCGAGATGAATGCACACATCACAAAGCAGTTTCTCAGATAACTTCCTTCTAGTTTTTAATCCTGGGATATTCACTTTTTTGGTCATTGGCCTCAATGAGCTCCCTAAAGTCCATTCGCAGAATGGACAAAAGAGTGTTTCCAAACTGCTGAATCCAAGGAAACCTTTAATTCTGTGAGATGAATGCATACAGCACAAAGTTGTTTCTCAGAATGCTTCTTTCCAGTTTTATCTGAATATATTTCCTTTCTCACTATAGGCCTCAAAGTGCTCCCAAATATCCCTTTGCAGAATCTAAAAAACAGTGTTTCCAAACTGCTGAATGAAAAGATCAGTTTAACTCTGTGAGATGAATGCACACAAAGGAAGGCGGTTTCTCATAGAGCTTCCTTCTAGTTTTTATGCTGGGATATTTCCTTTTTCACATTTGGCCTAAATGAGCTGAAAAATGTCCATTCACAGATTGAAATAAACAGTGTTTCCAAACTGCTGAAACCAAAGAAAGGTTGAACTCTGTGAGATGAATACACACATCACAAAGCAGTTTCTCAGAAAGCTTCTTTCTATTTTTCATCTGAAGATTTTTCCTTTTTCACCATAGGCTTCAATGCCTGCTGAAACATCCTTTCATAGACTCTAACAAAACAGTTTTTCCAAACTGCTGAATTAAAAGAAAGCTTTAACTCTGCAAGATAAATGCACACATCACCAAGCTGTTTCTCAGATAGCTTCTTTCTAGTTTTTTCCTGGGTTATTCCCTTTTTCGCAATTGGTCTCAGTGAGCTCCCAAATGTACATTTGCAGAAAGGACAAAAACTGTGTTTCCAAACTGCTGAATCCAAAGAAACTTTTAACTCTGTGAGATGAATGCACACATCCAAAGCAGTTTCTCAGAAAGCTTCTTTCTAGATTTTGTCGGAAGGTATTTCCTTTATAACCATCGGCCTCAATGCGATCCCAAATATTCTTTCACAGATTCTCCAAAAACAGGGTTTCCAAACTGCCTAATGGAAGTCGTGGTTTAACTCTGTGAGATGAATGCACACATCACAAAGCAGTTTCTCAGATACCTTCTTTCTGGTTTTTATCCTGGGATATTTGCTCTTTCACATTCGGCCTCAATGATCTCCCAAATATCCCTTTGCAGATTCTACAAAAACAGTGTTTCCAAATCGTTGAGTCTAAAGAAAGTTTCACTCTGTGAGATGAATGCACTCATCACACAGAGGTTTTTCAGGAAGCTTCTTTCAAGTTTTTATCTGAAGATATTCCCTTTTTCACCTTAGCCCTCAATGTGCTCCCAAATATCCCTTCACAGATCCTACCAAAAACGTGTTCCCAATCTACTGAATTATCAGGGGAAACCACCTCCAGTAATTCAACATATTTCACGTAGTTTCTTTTCTATTTCCCTAAATGTTGGCCAGTCTGAGAAATAAAGAGAAGTAATACAAAAGAGAGAAATTTTAAACCTGGGTGTCTGGGGGAGACATCACATATCGGCAGGTTCCTTGATGCTCCGAAGCTACAAAACCAGCAAGTTTTTATTAGTGATTTTCAAAGGGGATGGAGTGTATGAATAGAGTGTGGATCACAGAGATAACATGCTTCACTAGGTAATAAAACATTACAAGGCAAACGGAGGCAGGGCGAGATCACAGGACCAGGGAGAAATTGAAATTGCTAATGAAGTTTTGGGCACGCATTGTTGTTGACAACATCTTTTCAGGAGACAGGGTTTGAGAGCAGACAACCGGTCTAACCAATATTTACTAGGCAGGAATTTTCTCATCCTAATAGGCCTGGGAGTGCTACAGGAGACTGGGGCTTATTTCATCCCTTATCTTCAACTGTAAAGTCAGACATTACCAGAGTGGCCATTTGAGAGACCTCCTCCTGTGAATGCATTCTTTCTCAGGACTGTTCCTTTCTAAGAAAAGGAATTCAGTGATATTTCTCCTATTTGCTTTTGAAAGAAGAGAAATATGGCTCTGCTCCACCTGGCTCTCAGGCAGCCAGACCTAATGGTTATCTCCCTTGTTCCCTGACTATCACTGTTATCCTTTTCTTTTTTCAAGGTGCCCAGATTTCATATTGTTTAAACAATTTGTACAGTTAATGCAATAACTGCATTATTGCATTATGTATGAGGTGACATACATCTTCAACTTAGGAAGATTAATAGATTAAAGTAAGGACAGGCATAAGAAATCACAAGAGTATTGATTGGGGAAGTGATAAATGTCCATGAAATCTTCACAATTTTGGTTCAGAGATTGCAGTAAAGACAGGCGTAAGGAATTATAAAAGTATTAATTTGGGGAACTAATAGATGTCCATGAAATATTCACTATTTATGTTCTTCTGCCATGGCTTCAGCCAGTCCCTCCATTCACGGTCCCTGACTTCCCACAACATCTCTCCCTTTCTTTCCATAAAAATGCGCCATGGTGATGAAGGCTTGTTTGTTCTCTCAATTTTCATGCAAGATTCTTTGACTGGTCCAGCACACTAAAGACAAGCGAATTAAACAGAGAAACATATTTCCAAAATTTACTACAGTGGATCCCCCAACAGACTTAATCCAAGTCGTGGGGTTTAATCCAGAAATATTTTCTGCACCTGATCTAATGCCTCTGCTCCAGGCACAATGGTTAAATGAGCTTGAGAGGCTTCACAAGTTTGTTTCTTTAATTTAGTTATGTCCAATGATAAATTATCTTCCCTACCAAAAAGGCGTCCTTTCACCATTTGCCATGATCAGTCTCATTATAGGAATACATGGTGATACAGAAATCAGGAGTGTTCCAAACAGACTGCATTTGGATGTGATGTTCAAGACTCACTACCCAATCTCCAAGCCAAATAACAGACTGTCTTAAATCATTAATTTGATTAGCCAATTTTTGATCAATGCCTTGTTGAGAATTCCACATTTGGGTGGAATTGGCTTGCCAATCATTAACGAAATGAGCCTTTTGAATAGATTGGTGTGATGCCATTCCAGTAGTGGTCACCATTGCAGTGACTGTAATTAGGCCCATGATCACAGCGATTAAAGTGAAAACAAATCTCTTAGATCTTTTTAGAATTCACTGTAACACTTCATTAATTAAATGTATTGAGGGAGAGGATTCCCAATGTCTGGGCAGTTACCAGAATCCGGATTCCTTCTCGAGCTTGAACCAACGTTACTCTTTTCCTGGAGTCAAAATGGGAGTTAATACAACTGTATAAATGACAATTAATGCATTGGACAGTTTGATTGTTTGTCCAAATTTTGATATTTCCCACTAACAGTATGTAAGGAGGCTTAACACAACTCTGTATAGGAATAGTCAGTTTGGAAGTAAGTAAAGCAGAATGTCTGGGTCTACATTGCTACTGAGAGATAGGAGCGGTAGTGGGAAAAACAAACTGCATAGTTTCCCCTTCCCATACTTGCAGTTCAGACATAGCAATAGCCAATTTCCAAGCTTCTGAGTATTCTGGGCTCAGAATCGGGAGTATTATATGAGGCCTCAGGGAGGGGAGTGGGGGTAAAAGATTTATCTTCCCATTTTAAGGGAAAGAATGAGCTGAACCTCATATGCAAAGCAGAATGATGATTCTCATTGTCCCGTTAAGAAATGAAATAAATAGCCTCCAGGCATTCCGTTCTGACAGAGGAGCAATTGTTTTTTAAATAGCCCTTTGGTTCCCAGTCTATTACCAACAATATGAGTCATTTTTTAATATTACTGCATGTGAGTTAACAAAATCTTCCCAAGTTAAAGTTTTAGATGGACCCTTATAATGTTTAGGGCATGGCTTTCCTGCAGGTTTATATTGAAAGTATGGGGTATCTCCCATTACTCCCACTTTCATTCGTTTTAAAGGAGATAGGGAGAGGCCAGAGACCAAATGTACCGGTTCCTCTGTAGCTGACCTATACGGAAGATAAGCATCTCAGACTTGAGTTTTTAGATGGATACAACCAGGCAAATGTCCGAGGCACAGAGGGGGGTATTTATAACCCATGGTAATATCAAATGCAGTGCCTTCTTTTCCTGGTTGAGCACGGCAATGGTCATCTGTAGCTCCAGGCATCCACACACTATTGTTAGTGTAGGTTTTTGCAGGAGAATCCATCCAGGTGAGAGGTCAAATCAGTGGAGGAAAAGGCACATAAGCCCAATAAGAATAATTTTGTGTAGCACGTAAATCATTGTGAGAGGAAACCGTTGAGACAGAAAGTATAAAGAGGAGAATCATTAAATAAAACCTATTGTAAGTGAGATTGAGTGCTGAAGGAGAAAGAAGAACAGGGGGTTCACATTTTTAGGCTAATAGAAATAGTGAGATTTTTAGGTTTGTAAGGAGAAAAAAAGGTAATCAGGAGAAGTGAGATTAGTTAGATGGGTCTCCATTGCCATCAGGGAGGATTGAATCAGACCCATTGTGATTTGGTGTGCCAGGTTCTAAGGAGTTGACCCAGAACTCACCACATCTGAGGGCAGTCTCTAACACGGATATCTTTTCTCTGTGGTTTTCATGGTCAGTATTCACCTGAAGCTTGAGTCTCCTGATGGGTACCCAGACCAGATCTCCTGGTGAAACACAAGCATATCCCCTTCCCCACGTTATAATTGTGCCATATTCTCACGTATTGGTTTGGGAATTTTTCCATAACTTTGGATTGCCTTCATTTAGGGAGAATTTTTTGCCTGTATAATGGCATTTGGCTGCAGTTAGATTATTATCTTTAGGAACATTAAAAAAAATTTAAAGTAAACAATGCCAAATGTAATTGGGAGTGGGGGGTAGTTAAATTATGTTTTGGTTGTTCAGACTGTTTGGACAATTGGGTTTTTAAAGCGTGATTGGCCTGCTCCACCACAACTTGTCCCTGAGGATTATAATGGATTCCAGTAATATGGGAAATTCCCCACTGTTGTATAAATAAATCAAAAGCCTTACTAACATATCCAGGGGCATTGTCTGTCTTTATTTGATGTGGAAGACCCATAACTGCAAAGCAAGTACACAGATGTTTTTTAACACGGGCCATGCCTTCCCCTGTTTGGCAAGTAGCCCAGATAAAACCTGAGAATGTATCTACAGAGACATGCACATATGACAGTCTGCCAAAGGACCTAACATGGCTCACATCCATTTGCCATAAATCATTAGGATTTAGGCCTTGGGATTAACACCAGGTTCCTGATTTGGAAGTACAAAAACTTGGCACTGAGGACAGCTGTGAACAATAAGCTTAGCCTGTTTCCAGGTAAGAGCAAATTTATCTTTTAATCCAGCAGCATTGACCTGAGTGAGATTATGGAACTCCTGAGCTTCTTGGGTTGCAAAAGATACAAAAGAGTCAACTTTATGATTACCAGCAGACATGGGTCCTGGTAAAGTGGTATGAGATCTAATATGCGTAATATAGAAAGGGTGTCTACATTGGTGAACAGCCTGTTGTAACCTTTAAAATAAAGAAGGCAATTCAGAATTATCAATATGTTTGATAGTAGAAGTTTCTGTATTTTAGTGGCATGTACAACATAAGCAGAATCTGAGATAATATTTAAAGGTTTGGGGAAATCCCGTAAGGCAGTAAGCATAGCAATTAACTCTGCCTTTTGAGTAGAGGTAAAAGAGCTAGAAATAAGCTCATCTGTAGGACCTACATAACCAGCACTGCCATTACTGGAGCCATCAGTGAACATCAGTGAACACTGTAACAGCCTCAGGAATGGGCTGGGCTTTGGTTAATTGAGGGACCATCCAAGACGTAATTTTTACAAAATCAAACAATTTGTTCTTTGTACAATGATGATCAATAAGGCCAATAAAATCAGCCAAGTGAATTTGCCACAGTACGGAATGTTGAAAGGTGACTTGAACTTCGAGCTGATTTAAAGGAACCACAATTAAATTCAGATCAAATAGAAAAATTTTAAGTATTCTACACCATGCCTGTCCAATTAGAGTGGCCATTTGATCTAGATAAACAGAAAAAGTTTTTGACACAGAATGAGAAAGAAAACAACACTCCACTGAATCATTATGTTGAACTATTAGTCCAGTAGTGGAGTATAATGAAGCAAAAATCAGAAGCTGAAAAGGATGAAATGGCTGTACTCTAGATAACTGGGTGGTCTGGATTCTTTCCTCTTTGAATTCCAGGTCTACTGAAGCCTCAGGGGTCAACGTCTTGGGACTGTGGAGATTAGAATCTCCCCTCAGCATAGAAAACAAGTTAGACAGTGCATAGTTCAGAATGCATAAAGTAGGTCTTAAATAATTACTATTACCCAAAAGTTTTTGGAAGTCATTTAAAGTTTTCAAAGAATCTCTCCTAATTTAAACTTTTTCAGGTTGAACATGTTGCTTATCGACCACCATTTCTAAATATTGAACAGGAGTGGTATGTTGAATTTTATCCTGAGCAATATGTAATCGAGCCTCTGTAACACAGTGGTTCAAACTTTGATAAGAGTCAATTAATTCTTTATCTGTGGGGGCAGCAACTAAAATACCATCAATATAATGAAAAATATAGGTTTGGGGAAATAGGGCTCGAACTGGTGAAAGCACTTGTCCAACATAAAGCTGGCAGATTTTAGGGCTATTTAGCATTCCATTGCTAAATAGAAATGATATTTATTTATTTCCATTGCGAAATGGAAAGAGGAAGTACTTTCCATTGATAATGAGCTGCAGGCTCTTGATTATTGATAGATGGTATAGTAAAAGCAAATTTTTCACAATCTGATTTATGTAAAGAAAAAAACAATTATGTAAAGAAAAAAATATGCAAACAAAAAAACAATCTTTAAAATCAATAACTATGAGAGGCCAATTTTTAGGTATTAAAGCCGGGGCAGGCATGCTGGGTTGGACTTCCCCCATAGGTTTAATTACAGCATTATTGACCCTTAAATCAGTTACCATCTACCACTTCCTTGATTTCTTTTTTACTAGAAACACAGGAGAATTCCAGGAGGAAAAAGAAGGTTGCACATTTCCAAGTTGTAACTGTTCAGAAACCAAGTGAGTTAAAGCCTCCAGTTTTTCTTTAGAAAGCGGCCACTGCTGAATCCAAATGGGTGTGTCAGATTTCCATTGTAAAGGGATGGGATTAGGAGGAGTGGCAGAGGCTGCCATTAAAAAGGATAACCTAAACCTGCCCTGTTTTCTTTTACAGTAACTGGAAGAGGTTTAGTAATTGCTTCATGTTTTGGACCGAGACTGAGTCCAGGAACAAACCCCATGTTTTCCATCATATGCTGACTGGGAGCACTATAAGACTTATGTGGAATATTAATTTCAGCACCACATTGTGCCAGTGCATCTCTACCCCAAAGATTAATGGGGATTGGAGTGATATAAGGCTGATTGATTGTACCCTTTTGACCATCAGGGCCAGTGCAAGTCAAGATAAATGTGCTCTCATAAACTTCCTCAGCTTTTTCAACACCTAGTAGTTCCGTGTTAGTGGGATTTTTAAGCCAGGAGGAAGGCCATAAGCTGGAGGAAATAAAAAAACATCAGCCCCAGTATCTACTAGGCCTTCAAACTTTTTTCCTTGAATGTGTATGGTGCAGGTGGGCCATGGTTTAGAAATTATATTAATCTAATAAGCAGCCTTTTCACCACTGGAGCCAATCCCAGGGTCACGTGTCTCATCTGCTTTGTTTAAAATGATATTAGGTAGTAAAAGCAATTAAGCAACTGCCTCACTGGCCCGAATGGAAACAGGAACCTTGGCACAGGTGATTAATTTAATCTCATTAATGGAATCAGAATTAATGAGACCAGTATGAATTGTGATTCCTTTAGCAGAGGTAGATGCCCTACCTAAAACCAGGCCCACCAAACCTTGAGGTAAAGGGCGAGTGACCCCTGTGGGGACAATTAACGGCAAAGAGTTAGGTAGTAAACTTAGAAGAATACTACTACAGATATCAACCGCCCCACCCTCTACCATGGAGGTGGACAAGCATTGTACTGAGGCAAAAGAAGAGGCTGGGACCCATTTGGGTTGGCTGTAAGTGAATTTGTTTGTGCTGGGGGTTGCACTGGGACAGCCTGAAGTGGAAATGAAACATCATTTTGAGTCTGAAGCATCTCATTTGATATCACGGCCTGGGACCAGCCCTGCTCCCCATTTTCCTGGTGTTGTGGCAGGGGATTTCCATCTATATCATACTGAGAGCTGCAATTACTTTCCCTATGTTTACCTTTGCAACATCGTGGGCAAAAAGTAGCAGCAGAATTTGGCCATGTTTGTTGAGCTGGCTTAGCTGCTTTAAAGTTTTTAACAGTGCAATTTTTCCGAGTATAACCAAGTTGACTGCAATTATAGCAGGCTCCAAGGAAAGAATTAGTGGGATGAGTTTGGTTGGTATCCTTCATGGCCCATACCCACAGAATAGGTTTGTGGTGTCTGATCCAATGCCTTCACAAACTTTAATATATGTAGGCAACACCTCGTGATCAGGTAAATTTTGTCTTTGGACAGAACTCAAGGCCATTTCACACTCATGGTTAGCATTTTCAAAAGCTAACATACGAAGAATACCTTGAGCTCTCATCAGAGACAAGTTTTTGAACATCATCTTGTAATTTAGCTAAAAAATCAGGGTATAATTCAGAGTGACCTTATTTAACTGTGGTAAAAGAAACAGGAGCTTGGCCTGGAGTGTCTAATTTATCCCAAGCTCTCATACATAAGAACATCAAAGTTTAATTGGGCATAAGCATGAGAGAAACTATCGGAGCCTGTGAGCTGAGCCTGAGTAATTAGAATGTCATTATTCTGATTTAGCTGAGCCTGCAAATGGGCCTCTTCTGACCACCAGGTACGAAATTGTAAATGCTGAGATGGGGTTAGAACAGCTTTTGCCAAAATGCCCCAGTCTAAAGGAAGCAAAATGACTTCAGTACACAAAGTTTGTAATACCATTTTGACATAAGGAGAAGTAGGACCATACTGAGTACAAGCATCCTTAAATTCTTTTAAAAATATAAGCTTAAGAGGTACCTAATGATGCATTTGTACCTCTGGGAAGTTGGAAGGGTGTAGCATGACCAGATAAGGTCATGCATCTAATCCCGTTTCTTTGTTTTGGCATAATAAGCATTGCATTGAAGTTTCAAGAGTAGGCATCTGAGATGATGTTGGCATAGAAGTGACAGGAAAAGCATGTGTAGATGAGGGAAACTGAGGTGGAGGGGGTCGGACTGGAAGGAGAGTGTGAGAAAGGGGCATTGGGGCAGCAGGAGCATAAGTATACTGGTGATTACGAGTGTCCATGTGTGAAGAAGGGTACAGAGAAGCAGGCTGCGTGGATGGCAAAGTGACTGGATAAGGAACCAAAATGACAGGAGGTTGAGGGGCTGAAGTGGATGAGGGAGGGCCTGAAGAATTATAAGTAAATTGTAGTTTGTTCCTGGAGCCATTAGGTGACTCTGGAGGTTTGAAGAGAGAAGAATTAGCATATATATGGTCCTGGGCTGTCGGAGTCGAGGCTGCGGGGGCTACAAGTACCGGCTATTCATGAAGAGAAATAAGATAATCAGGGGGTGACTGTAATCCAAAGTCCCCAGAGGTAGACATTGAATTCTCAACATCATCAAGTGGGGGAGGAGTAGCCAAAGGGAGAGGCTGATTAGATAACAAAGGCCATGTAGGAGGGGAAGGTTGAGGAAGAGGTGGAGTGTCATCAGATTCAGAAAATTGTGGTAACCGTAGGGGCTCACAGGATTGGTATGTCATCATGACGGTATGTACCAAGGCCCAATTACCACAAACTGTGATGGGAACATAATTCCCAGTGGAGACAAGTTGCCAGAATATTGCAGCAACATGATCCCATTGTTCTACATCTAAGGTTCCTTTTTCAGGAAACCAAGGACAGTGTTTTTCTACTGCCTTGAATAGAGTGACCATATTTTCCATGGTTACTCAGAAACCACCCTGTTTTAACAGGAGTTTAATATAGCAGAGATAAGCATGATGTTAGACTCTGCATGACCCATGGTTAACCTGGACCATACACAGACTACTCACCAGTCATCAGGGAGTCGAACAAGCGTTTCTGTGGACCAAACTGATGATGTTTTTCCACACCTGCCAAAGGGAATTGGGTTCCCACATGCACTTGGGAAAAAGAAAAAACCACATTGAGGTGCCAGATATCGGGTGAACATGCTCCCAATAATTCAATGTATTTCACATAGGTTCTTTTCTATTTCCCTAAGTATAAACCAGTCTGAGAAATAAAGGGAAAGAGAACAAAAAAGAGAATTTTAAAGCTTGGTATCAGAGTGAAACCTCACATTTCAACAGGTTCCCTGATGCCACCCAAGCCCCAAAACCAGCAAGTTTTTAGTAGTGATTTTCAAAGCGGAAGGAGTGTAGGAATAGGGTGTGAGTCACAGAGATCACATGCTCCACAAGGTAATAAAATATTGCAAGGCAAATGGAGGCAGGGGAAGCTCACAGGACCAGGGTGAAATTAAAATTGCTAATGAAGTTTTGTGCACACATTGTCATTAATAACATCTTATCAGGAGACATGGTTTGAGAGCAAACAACCGATCTGACAAAAATTTACAAGGCAGGAATTTTGTTGTCCTAATAGGCAGGAAAGTGCTTCAGGAGTCTGGGGCTTATTTCATCCCTTATCAGCAATTGTAAAAGACAGACATTCCCAGAGCAGCCATTTTAGAGATGTAACCCTGAGAATGCATTCTTTTTCTCAGGGCTGTTCCTTGCTGAGAAAAGAATTCAGTGATCTTTCTCCTACTTGCTTTTGAAAGAAGAGAAATATGGCTCTGTTCTGCATGGCTCTCAGGCAGCCAGACTTAATGGTTATCTCCCTTGTTCCCTGAACATCACTGTTATCCTGTTCTTTTTTCATGATGCCCAGATTTCATATTGTTTAAACAATTAGTGAAGTTATCACAAACATCACAGGGTCCTGAAGTGACATACATCATCAGCTTATGAAGATGACAGGATTAAGAGACTAAAGACAGGCATAGGAAATCACTGGAATATTGATTAGGGAAGTACTAAATGTCCATGAAATCATCACAATTTACGTTCAGAGACTGAAGTAAAGACAGGTGTAAGAAATTATAAAAGTATTAATTTGGGGAACTAATAAATGTCCATGAAATATTCAGAATTTGTGTTCTTCTCCCATGGCTTCAGCCGGCCCATCTGTTCGGGGTGCCTGACTTCCCGCAACAGTTTCCAAATTGCTGAATGAAAAGAATGGTTTCACTCTGTGAGATGAATGCACACATCACAAAGTGGTTTCTCAGATAGATTACTTCTAATTTTTATCCTGGGATATCCACTTTTTTGCCTTTGTCCTCAATGTACTCCAAAATGTCCATTTGCAGAATGGACAAAAACAGTGTTTTCAAACTGCTGAATCCAAAGGAAAGTCTAACTCTGTCCGATGAATGCACACATCACAAAGTGGTTTCTCAGAAAGCTTCTTTCTAGCTTTTATTTGAAGATATTTCCTTTTTCACCATAGGCCTCAATGCCCTCACAAATATCCCTTCACAGATTCTGCCAAAACAGGGTTTCCAAACTGCTTATTTTTTTCTTCAGACAGAGTCTACCTCCGTCACCCAGGCTGGAGTGCAGTGGTGCGGACTTGGCTCACTTTAAGCTCTGCCTCCTGGGAATCACGCCATTCTCCTGCCTCAGCCTTCCAAGTAGCTGGAACTAGAGGCACCCGCCACCAGGTCCAGCTAATTTTTTGTATCTTTAGTAGAGACGAGGTTTCACTGTGTTAGCCAGGATGGTCTTGAACTCCTGATCTCATGGTCCACTGGCCTCGGCCTCCCAAAGTGCAGGGATTACAGGCGTGAGCCACTGGGCCCAGCCCCAAACTGCTTATTGAAAAGAAAGTATAACTGTGTGAGATGCTGGCACACATCACAAAGCTGTTTCTCAGATAGCTTTCTTCTAGTTTTTATCCTGGGATATTCACTTTTTTTTTGCCATTGGCCTCAATGAGCTCCCAAGTATCCCTTCACAGATCCTAAAAAAACAGTGTTTCCAAACAGTTGAATCCAAAGGAAGGTTTATCTCTATGAGATGAATGCACACATCACAAAGTGGTTTCTCAAAAGCTTCTTTCTACTTTTTCTCTGAAGACATTTCCTTTTCACCATAGGCCTCTATGTGCTGCCAGATATCCCTTTGCAGATTCTGCAAAAGCTAGGTTACCAAACTGCTGAATGAAAAGAAAGTTTTAACTCTGCAAAATGAATGCACACCTCAGAAAGCGATTTCTCAGATACCTTTCTTCTAGTTTTTATCCTGAGATATTTGCCTTTTCAACATTGGCCTCATTGAGCTCCCAAATGTCCATTCACAGATGGGACAAAAACAGTGTTTCCAAACTGCTGAATCAAAAAAAAAGTTGAACACTGTGAGATGAATACACACATCATGAAGCAGTTTCTCAGAAATCTTATTTCTTGTGTTTATCTGAAGATTTTTTCCTTTTTCACAATAGCCTTCAGTGCACTCCCAAATATCCCTTCACAGATTTTACCAAAACAGTGTTTCCAAACTGTTGAATGAAAAGAAAGGTTTAACTCTGCAATATGAATGGAAACATCACAAAGCTGCTTCTCAGACAGATTTCTTCTAGTTTTATCCTGGGATATTCACTTTTTTGCCTTTGGCCTCAATGAGCTCCCAACGATGCGTTCACAGATGTTACAAAAACAGTGTTTGCAAACTGTTGAATCCAATGCAAGGTTTAACTCTGTGAGATGATGCACACAGCACAAAACAGTTTCTCAGAAAGTTTCTTTCTAGTTTTTGTCTGAAGATATTTCCTTTTTCACCATAGGCCTCAATGCACTCCCAAATATCCCTTCACAGATTCTACCAAAACAGGGTTTCCAAACTGCTGAATGAAAAGAAAGGTTTATCTCTGTGAGATGAACGCACACATCAAAGAGAGGTTTCTCAGGTAACCTCCTTATAGTTTTTTTTTATCCTGGGATATTAATTTTTTCATCTTTACCCTCATGGAGCTCCCAAAGATCCATTTGCAGATTCTACAAAAACAGTGTTTCCAAACTGATGAATCCAAAGAAAGGTTTAACTCTGTGAGATGAATGCACACATCACAGTGCAGTTTCTTGGAAATATTCTTTCTAGTTTTTATGTGAAGATGTTTCCTTCAGATAAATATCTATCTGCTATCCACTCCCAAATATCCCATTGCAGATTCTACGAAAACAGTGTTTCCAAATGGCTGAATGAAAAGAAAGATTTAACTCTGTGAGATGAATGCACACATTAGAAAGCTGTTTCTCATTTAGCTTCCTTCTAGTTTTCATCCTGGTCCATTCACTTTTTCACCAATGGTCTCAATGAGCTCCCAAAAGTCCATTCCAGAATGAACAAAAACAGTGTTTCCAAACTGCAGAATCCAAAGAAAGGTTTAACTCTGTGTGATGAATACATACATCACAAAGCAATTTCTTTGAAATCTTCTTTGTAGTTATTATCTGAAGATATATTTTTCTTCACCATAGGCCTCAATGTGCTCCCAAATATCCCTTCACAGGTTCTACCAAAACCGTGTTTCCAAACTGCTGAATGATAAGAAAGGTTTACCTTGGCGAGATGAATGCACATATCACAAAACATTTTCTCAGATTGCTTCTTTCTGGTTTCTATCCTGGTCTATTCTCTTTTTTCTCACCATTGGCCTCAATGAGTACCCAAATATCCATTTGCAGAATGCACAAAAACAGTGTTTCTGAACTGCTGAATACAAAGTAAGCTTTAACTCTGTCAGATGAATGCACACATCACAAAGCAGCTTCTCAGAAAGTTTCCTTCTAGTTTTTATGTGAAGTTATTTCCTTTTTCTCCATAGGCTTCAATCCATTAAAAAATATTCCCTCACAGATTCTACCAAAACTGTGTTTCCAAACTGCTGAAAGAAAACAATGGTTTAACTCAGCGAGTTGAATGCACACATAACAAATCAGTTTCTCAGATAGCTTCCTTCTAGTTTTTATCCTGGGATATTCACTTTTTCACCTTTGGCCTCAAAGAGCCCCTAAATATCCCTTTGTAGCTTCTATGAAAACAGTGTTTTCAAACTGCTGAAGGAAAAGAAAGGTTTAACTCTGTGAGATGAAGTCACACATCAGAAAGTGGTTTCTCAGATAGCTTCCATCCTTCTAGTTTTTATCCTGGGATATTTGCTTTTTCAACATTGGCCTCTATGACCTCCCAAATATACCTTCCAAGATATTACAAGACAGTGTTCCCATATTGCCTAATCCAAGGAAAGTTTTAACACTGTGAAATTAGTGCACACATAACGAAGCAGTTTCTCAGTAAGCATCTTCTAGTTTTTATCTGAAGGTACTTCCTTGTTCACCATAGGCCTCAAAGTGCTCCAAAATATCCCTTCACTGATTCTAAAAAAACATTGTTTTGAAACTGCTGAATGAAAAGAAAAGTTTCACGCTGTGAAATGAATGCACACATCACAGAGTGGTTTCTCAGATAGCTTCCTTCTAGTATTTAACCTCAGATATTCGATTTTTCAGCTTTGGCCTCAATGAGGTCCCAAATATCCCTTCTCAGATTCTACAAAAACAGTGTTTCAAAACTGCTGAATACAAGGATACTTTGATTGTTGTGAGATGAATGCTCACATCACAAAGCAGTTTCTCAGAAAGCTTCTTTCTAGTTGTTATCTGAAGATTCTTTCTTTTTCAACGTAGGCCTCAATGTGCTTCGAAATATCCCTTCACAGATTCCACCACACAGTGTTTCCAAACTGCTGAATTAAAAGAAAGGTTCAACTCTGTGAGATGAATGAACAGATCACAAAGCTTTTTCTCAAATAGCTTCCCTCTAGTTTTTATTCTGGGTTATTTGCTATTTCACCATTGGCCTCAATGAGATCCCAAATGTCTATTTGCAGAATGGAAAAAGCAGTGTTACCAAACTGCTGAATCCAAAGAAAGCTTTAACTCTGTGAGATGAATGCACACATCACAAAGCAGTTTCTCAGAAATCTTCCTTCTAGTTTTTTTCTGAAGATTTTTTTTTTCTCCATAGGCCTCAATGCATTCCCAAATATCCCCTCACAGATTCTACCAAAACAGTGTTTCCAAACTGCTGAATGAAAAGAATGATTTAACTCAGCGAGATGAATACACAGATAACAAAGCAGTTTCTTCAATACCTTCCTTCTACTTTTTATCCTGGTCTATTTATTTTTTTGCCAATGGCTTCAATGAGGTCCCAATTGTCCATTCTGGGACAAAAACAGTGTCTCCAAACTAATAATTCCAAAGAAAGGTTTAACTCTGTGAGATAAATGCACACACCACAAAGCAGATTCTCAGAAAGCTTCTTTCTAGTTTTTATCTGAAGATGTTTCATTTTTCCCCATAGACCTCAATGAGCTCCCAAACATCCCATCACAGACTCTACTGAAACAATGTTTCCAAACTACAGAATTAAAAGAAAGTTTTAACTCTGTGAGATAAATGAACACATGACAAAATGGTTTCTCGGATAGCTTCCTTCTACTTTTATCCTGGGATATTTTCTTTTTCACATGGGGCCACAGTGAGCTCCCAAGTACCTCTTTGCTGATTCTACCAAAACAGTGTTTCCAAACAGCTGATTCCAAAGAAATATTTAACTCTGTGAGTTGACAGCACATTTCACAAAGCAGTTTCTCAAATAGCATATTTCTAGTTTTTATCTATAGATAGTTGCTTTTTCACCACAGGCCTTGATGTCCTCAAAAATATCTCTCCACAGATTCTACCAAAACAGTGTTTCCAAACAACTGAATGAAAAGAAAGGTTGAACTCATGAGATGAATACACACATCACAAAGCAGATTCTCAGATAGCTTCCTTTTAGTTTTTATCTTGGGATATTCACTTTTTTGCCATTGGCCTCAATGAGCTCCCAAATGTCCATTTGCAGAATGGACAAAAACAGGATTTCTAAACTGCTGAATCCAAAGAAAGATTTAACTCTGTGAGATGAATGCACATATCAATGAGAAGTTTCTCAGAAAAGTTCTTTCTAGTTTTTATCTGAAGATATTTCATTTTTCACTCTAGGCTTCAAAGCACTCCCAAATATCTCTTTGCAGATTCTCAAAAACAGTGTTCCCAAACTGCTGAGTGAAAAGACAAGTTTAAGTCTGAGAGGTGAATGCACACATCACACCGCAGTTTCTCAGATAGGTTCCTTCTAGTTTTTATCCTGGGATATTCGCTTTTTCTCCATTGATCTCAATGAGCTCCCAAATGTCCATTTGCAAAATGGATAAAAACAGTGTTTCCAAATTGCTGAATCCAAAGAAAGGTTTAACTCTGTTACATGAATGCACATATTACAAAGCATTTTCTCAGAAAGCTTCTTTCTAGTTTTCATCTGAAATATTTTCTTTTTCACCATAGGCCTCAATGTGCTCCCAAATATCCCTTCACAGAATCTACCAAAACAGTATTTCCAAATTGCTGTATGAAAAGAAAACTTTAACTCCGTGAGATGAATGCACACATCACAATGTGGTTTCCCATATAGCTTCCGTCTACTTTTTATCCTGGATTATTTGCTATTTTGCCTTTTGTCTCAATGAGATCCCAAATGTCCATTCACTAAATGGACAAAAACTGTGTTTCCAAACTGCAGAATCCAAAAAAGGTTTTATTCTGTGAGATGACTGCACACATCACACAGCAGTTTCTCAGATAGCTTCCTTCTATTTTTTTATCCTGGGATATTAGTTTTTTTGCCTATGGCCTCAATGAGCTTGCAAATGTCCATTAGCAGATTGAAAAACGCAGTATTTCCAAACTGCTGAATCCACAGAAAGGTTGAAGTCTGTGAAAGGATTGCACGCATCACAAAGCAGTTTCTCAGAAAGCTTCTTTAAGTGTTTATCTGAATATATTTCTTTTTTCACTACAGGTCTCAAAGCACCGAAAATATCCCTTTACAGATTCCAAACTTCCAAATTACAGTGTTTCCAGACTTCTGAGTGAAAGGACAAGTTTAAGTCTATGAGGTAAATGCACACATCAGTTTCTCTGAAAGCTTCCTTCTAGTTTTTATCCTGGGATATTCACGTTTTCACCTTTATCCTCAATAAGCTCCCAAATGCCCATTTGCAGAATGGACAAAACTGTGTTTCCAAACTGCTGAATCCAAAGAAAGGTTTATCTCTGTTAGATGAATGCACACATCAGAAAGCAGATTCTCAGATAGCTTCCTTATAATTTTTATCTTGGGATATTCACTTTTTCGCCATTGGCCTCAATGAGCTCCGAAATGTCCATTAGTACAATGGACAAAAACAGTATTTCCAAATTGCTGAATCCAAAGAAATGTTTAATTCTGTGAGATGAATGCACAAATCACAAAGCAGTTTCTCATAAGGCTTTTTTCTAATTTTTATCTGATGATATTTCTTTCTTCACCATAGGCCTCAATGAGCTCACAAATATCCCTTTGCAGATTCTACCAAAACAGTGTTTCCAAACTGCTGAACGAAAAGAAAGGTTGAACTCTGCAAGATGAATGCACACATCTCAAAGCTGTTTCTCAGATAGCTTCCTTCTAGTTTTTATCCTGGGATATTCGTTTTTTCATCTTTGGCCTCATGAGCTCAAAAATGTCCATTCCCAGATTGAAATAAACAGTGTTTCCAAACTGCTGAATCCAAAGAAAGGTTTAGCTCTGTGAGATTAATGCACACATCAGAAAGCAGTTTCACAGAAAGCTTCTTTCTAGACTTTATCTGTTGATATTTCTTTTTTCACCAGAGGCCACAATGCGCTCCCAAATATCCCTTCACAGAATCTACAAAAACAGTGTTTCCAAACTGCTGAAAGAAAGAAAAGTTTTCACTCTGCGAGTTGAATGCATACATTGCACAGCAGTTTCTCAGATAGCTTCCTTCTAGTTTTTATCCTGGGATATTCCCTTTTTGCCATAGGCCTCAATGAGCTCCAAAATATCTCTTCGTTGGTTCTACAAAAACAGTGTTTCCAACTGCTTTATTCAACGTAAGGTTGAACTCTGTGAGACGAGTGCACACATCACAGAGCAGATTCTCAGGCAGATTTCTTCTAGTTTTTATCCTGGGATATTTGCTTTTTTGCCTTTGGCCTCAAGGAGCTCTCAAATGTCCATTTGCAGAAAGGACAAAAACAGTTTTTCTAAACTGCTGAATCCAAAGAAAGGTTTATCACCATGAGATGAATGCACACAGCAACAAGCAGTTTCTCAGAAACGTTCTTTCTAGTTTTTATCTGAAGACATTTCCTTTTTCACCTAGGTCTCAAAGTGCTCCCAAATATCCCTTCACAGATTCTACCAAAACAGTGTTTCCAAACTGCTGAATGAAAAGAAAGTTTTCACTCTGTGAGACGAAGGCACATATCACAAAGTGGTTTCTTACATAGCTTCCTTCAAGTTTTTACCCTGGGATATTCACTTTTTTGCCATTGGCCTCAATGAGCTCCAAAATGTCTATTCACAGAGTGGACACAAACAGTGTTTCCAAACTCTTGAATCCAAGGAAAGGTATAACTCTGTGAAATGAATGCACACATCACAAAGAAGTTTCTCAGAAATCTTCTCTCTAGTTTTTATCTGAAGATATTTCGTTTTTCACCCGAGGCCTCAATGTGCTCTCAGGTATCCCTTCACAAACTCTATCAAAACAGTGTTTTCAAACTGCTGAATGAAAAGAAAGGTTTAACTCTGCAAGATGAATGCTCACATCACACCATGGTTTCTCAGATAGCTTCCTTCTAGTTTTTATCCTTGGATATTTGGTTTTTTGCCTTTGGAATCATGAGCTCCAAAATGTCCATTCACAGATGGAAAAAAGAGTGTTTCCTAACTGCTGAATCCAAAGAAAGGTTTAACTCAGTGAGATGAAGGCACACATTACCAAGCAGTTTGTCAGAAATCTTCTTTCTATAATTTATCTGATATTTCTTTTCTCACCATAGACCTCAATGTGCTACCAAATATTGCTTCGCAGACTCTACTGAAACAGTGTTTCCAAATTGCTGAATGAAAAGAAAGATTTAACTCTTCAAGATGAATGCACAAATCACAAAGTGGTTTCTCAGACAGTGTCCATCTATTTTTTATCCTGGATTATATGCTTTTTCACCACTGGCCTCAATGAGCTCCCAAGTGTCCATTCACAGAGTGGACAAAAACAGTGTTTTCAAACTGCTCAATCCAAACAAAAGTTTAACTCCCAGATGAATGCACACACCACAAAGCATTTTCTCAAAAATCATTTTTTTTTTTTTTAGTTTTCATCTGAAGATATTTCCTTTTTCACTGTAGGCCTTAATGTGCTCCCAAATATCCCTTCATGGAATCTACCAAAACAGGGTTTCCAAACTGCTGATTCCAAATAAAGGTTTAACTCTGTGAGAAAACTGCACACATCACACAGCAGTTTCTCAGATACCTTACTTCTAATTTTTATCCAGGAATATTCACTTTTTCACCATTGGCCTCAATGAGCTCAGAATTCTCCACTTTCAGAATGGACAAAAACTGTGTTTCCAAACTGCTGAATCCAAAGAAAGTTTTAGCTCTGTTACATGAAAACACACGTCACAAAGCAGTTTCTCAGGAAGGTTCTTTCGAGTTTTTATCTGAAAATATTTCCTTTTTCACACTAGACCAAAATGCACTCCGAAACATACCTTCGCAGATTCTGCAAAAACAGTGTTTCCAAACTGTTGAATGAAAAGAAAGTTTTACCTCTGGGAGATGAATGCACATATCACAAAACAGTTTCTCAGATAGCTTCCTTCTAGTTTTTATCCTGGGATGTTCACTTTTTTGCCATTGGCCTCAATGAGTTCCCAAATATACCTTCACAGATTCTACAAAAACAGTGTTTCCAAACTGTTGAATGAAAAGAAAGGTTTAACTCTGCTAGATGAATGCACACATCACAAAGTGGCTTCTCTGATAGATTCTTTCGAGTTTTTATCCTGGGATATTCGCTTTTTCACCATTGGCCTCAATGGGCTCCCAAATATCCATTCAGGGAATGGACAAAAACACTGTTTCCAAACTACAGAATCCAAAGAAATGTTTAATTCTGTGATATGAATGCACATATCACCAAGCAGTTTCTCCGAAAGGTTCTTTCTAGATTTTAACTGAAGATATTTCCTTTTCCACCCTAGTCCTCAATACTACCCAAATATCCCTTCTCAGATTCTACCATAACAGAGTTTCCAAACTGCTGAATTAAAAGAAAGGTTTAACTCTGTGAGATGAATGCGCACCTCACAGAGTGGTTTCTCAGATACATTCCTTCTAGTTTTTATGTTGGAATATTCATTTTTTCACCATTGGCATCAATGAGATCCCAAATATCCCTTCACATGTTCTACAAAAACTGTGATTCCAAACTGCTGAATTCAAACAAGTGTTGAACTCTGTGAGATGAATGCACACATCACAAAGCAGTTTCTCAGAAACCTTCTTTCTAGTTTTTCTCTGTGCATATTTCCTTTTTCACCCTAGGCCTCAATGCACTCCCAAATATCCCTTTGCAGATTCTACCAAAAGAGTGTTTCCAAACTGCTGAAAGAAAAGAAAGGTTTAACTCTGTGAGATGAATGCGCATATCAAAAAGCTGTTACTCGGAAAGCTTCTTTCAATGTTTATCCTGGGGTATTCTCTTTTTTGCCTATGTCCTCAATGAGCTCCAAAATATCCATTCAGGACAAAAACAGTGTTTCCCAACTACTGAATCCAAAGAAATGTTTAACAATGTGAGATGAATGAACACATCACAGAACAGTTTCTCAGAGAGTTTCTTTCTAGTTTTTATCTGAAGATATTTCCTCTTTCATCATAGGCCTCAATGCACTCCCAAATATCCATTTGCAGATTCTATATAAACAGTGTCTCCTAACTGCTAAATGAAAAGGAAGTTTCAACTCTGAGAGATGAATGCACACATCACAAAGCAGTTTCTCAAATAGCTTCCTTCTAGTATTCATCCTGCGATATTTGCTTTTATGGTTTTTGGCCTCAGTGAATTCCCATATATCCCTTTGCAGATTCACAAAAAAAGGTGTTTAAAAACTGCTGAATGAAAAGAATGAAAACTGCTGAATGAAAAGAAAGGTTTAACTCTGTGAGATGAATGCACACATCACAAAGCAGTTCCTCAGATAGCTTTCTTCTAGTTTTTATCCTGGAATATTCACTTTTTTGCCATTGGCCTCAATGAGGTCCCAAATATCCATTCACAGAATGGACAACAACAGTGTTTCCAAACTACTGATTCCAAAGAAAAGTTTAAACCTGTGAGATGAATGCACACATCATAAAGCAGTTTCTCAGAAAGCTTCTTTCTAGTTTTAATATGAATATATCTCTCTTTTTCTCCATAGGCCTCAATAAACTCCCAAATATCCCTTCACAGATTCTACAAAAGTAGTGTTTCCTAACTGCTGAATAAAAAGAAAGGTTGAACTCTGTGAGGTGAATGCACACATCACAGAGCTGTCTCTCAGAAAGTTTCTCTCCAGTTTTTATCCTGGGATATTCTCTTTTTTCACCTTTGGCCTCAAGGAGCTTTCAAATATGTCTTCATAGATTCTGCAAAAACACGGTTTCCATACTGCTGAATCCAAACAGTGGTTTAACTGTGTGAGATGAATACACGCATTACAAAACAGTTCCTGAGAATGCTACTTGCTAATATTTACTAGAAGATATTTCTTTTTTAACCATAGGCCTCAATGCGCTCCCAAATATTGCCTCACAGATTATACCAAGACAGTGTTTCCAAACTACAGAATTAAAAGAAAAGTTTAACTCTGTGAGATAAATGAACACATCACAAAGCATTTTCTGAGATAAGTTCCTTCTATTTTTTATCCTGGGATACTCACTTTTTCACCTATGGACTCAGTGATCTACCAAACATCCCTTCCCAGATTCTTAAAAAACACTGTTTCCAAACTGCTGAATGAAAAGAAAGGTTTAATTTTGTGAAATGAATTAGCACATCACAAAGTGGTTTCTCAGATGGCTTTCTTCTAGTTTTTATCTGGGGATACTTTTTCACCATTGGCCTCACTAAACTCCCAAATGTCCATTTGTGGAATGGACAAAAACAATGTTTCCAAACTGCTGAATCCAAAGAAAGGTTGACATACGTCAGAAGAATGCACACATCACAAAGCAGTTTCTCAGAAAGCTTCTTTCAATGTTTTATATGAAGATATTTCCTTTTTCACCACAGGCCTGAAAGTGCTCTCAAATATCCCTTCAGATTCTACAAAAACAATGTTTCCAAACTGCTGAAGGAAAAGAAATGTTTAACTCTGTGAGATGAATGCACACATAACAAAGCTGTTTCTCAGATAGCTTCCATCTAGTTTTTATCCTGGGATATTCGATTTTTCATCTTTGGCCTCAATGAGTACCCAAACATCCCTTCATAGATTCTACAAAAACAGTGTTTCCAAATTGCTGAATCCAAAGAAAGATTGACATCTGTCAGATGAATGTACATATAATAAAGTAGTTTCCCAGAAAGCTTCTTTCAATTTTTTATCTGAAGATATTTCCTTTTTCACCACAGGCCTGAATGCATTCTCAAATATCCCTTCCAGATTCAACAAAAACAGTGTTTCCAAACTTCTGAATGAAAGGAGAGGATTAAATATGCGAGATGAATGCACACATAACAAAGTGGTTTCTCAGATAGCTTCCATCTAGTTTTTATCTAGGGATATTCAACTTTTCATCTTTGACCTCAATGAGTTCCCAAACTTCCCTTTGTAGATTCTACAAAAACTGTTTCCAAATTGCTGAATCCAAAGAAAGGTTTAACTCTGTGAGACAAATGCACACATCACAAAGCAGTTTCTCAAAAAGCTTCCTTCTAGTTTTTATCTGAAGATATTTCATTTTTAACGATAGGCCCCATTGTGCTCACAAATATGTCTTTGCAGAATCTACAAAAACAGTGTTTTCAGGCTGCTGAATGAAAGGAAAGATTTAACTCTCCGAGATGAATGCACACATCACAAAGCAGTTTCTCAGATAGCTTCCATCCAGTGTTCATCCTTGGATATTTGCCTTTTCACATTTGGCCTCAATGAGCTCAGGAATCTCCATTCACAGAATGGAAAAAAACAGTATTTCCAAACTGCTGAATCCAGAGAAAGGTTGAACTCTGTGAGTTGAATGGACACATCACAAAGCAGTTTCTCAGAAAGCTTCTTTCTACTCTTTGAAGTTATTTCCTTTTTCACCATTGGCCTCTAAGCGCTCTCTAATATCTTTTAACAGATTCTACCAAAACAGTGTTTCCAAACTGCTGAATGAAAAGAAAGGTTTAACTCAGTGAGATGAATTCACAGAGCATAAAGCAGTTACTCAGATAGCTTCCTTCTATGTTTTATCCTGGGATATTCACTCTTTTGTCTTTGGCCTCAAGGAGCTCCCTAATGTCCATTCCCAGAGTGAACAAAAATAGAGTTTCCAAACTGCTGAATCCAAAGAAAGGTTTAACTATTTGAGATGAATTCACACATCACAAAGCAGTTTCTCAGAATGCTTCTTTCTAGTTTTTATTTGAAGATATTTCCTTTTTCATGATAGTCCTCAAAGCCCTCAAAAATAACCCCTCGTAGATTCTAAAAAGGAGTTTGTCCAAACTGCTGAATAAAAAGACAAGTTTAACTCTGCAAGTTGAATGCACACATCACAAAGCCGTTTATCAGATAGGTATCGTCTAGCTTTTATCCTGGTATGTTCACTTTTTCACCTTTGGCCTCAATACACTCCCAAATATTCCTTCACAGATTCTGCCAAAACAGTATTTCCAGACTGCTGAATGAAAAGAAGACTTCTACTCAGAGAGATGAATGCACAGATCACAAAGCAGTTTCTCAGATACCTTCCTTCCAGTTTTTACCCTGGGATATTATCTTTTTCGCCTTTGGCCTCAGTGACTCCAAAATATCCCTACACAGATTCTACAAAAACAGTGTCTTTAAACTACTGAATCCAAAAACAGGTTTAACTCTGTGAGATGAATTCACACATCACAAAGCTGTTTCTCAGAAAGCTTCTTTCTAATTTTTATCTGAATATATTTTCCTTTTCACCATAGCCCTCGAGGTGCTCCCAAATATCCCTTCACAGATTCTACCAAACAGTATTTACAAACTGCTGAATGAAAAGAAAAGTTTAACTCTGCTAGATGAATGCACACATCACAAAGCAGTTTCTCAGATAGTTTTCTTCTGGTTTTTATCCTGGAATATTCACTTTTTGCCATTGACCAAAATGAGCTCCCAAATGTCCATTTGCAGAATGGACAAAAACAGTGTTTCCAAACTGCTGAATCCAAAGAAAGGTTTATCTCTGTGAGATGAATGCATACATCATGAGGCAGTTTTTCAGAAATATTCTTTCTAGTTTTTATTTGAAGATATTTCCTTTTTCAATGTAGGCCGTAATGTGCTCCCAAATATCCCTCCACAGATTCTACAAAAAAAGTGTTTCCAAACTGCTGAATGGAAAGAAAGCTTTAACACTGTGAGATGGATGCACACATCACAAAGCGGCTTCTCAGATAGCTTCCTTCTAGTTTTTATTCTGCTATATTCACTTTTTCACCTTTGGCATGAATGAGCTAAAAAACTTTCATTTGCAGGATGGATAAAACCAGGGTTTCCAAACTGCTGAATCCAAAAAAAGTTTAACTCTGTTAGGTGAATGCACACATCACAAAGCAGTTTCTTCAAAAGCTTCTTTCTAATTTCATCTGAAGATATTTCCTTTTCACCATAGGCCTCAATGTGCTCCCAAATATCCCTTTGAGAAATCTACCAAAACAGTATTTCCAAACAGCTGAATTGAAAGAAAACTTTAACTCTGTGAGATGAATGCACACATCACAATGCAGTTTCTCAAATAGCTTCCTTCTAGTTTTTATCCTGGGCTATTCACTTTTTTGCCATTGGCCTCAATGAACTCAGCAGTCTCCATTTGCAGAATAGACAAAAACAGTGTTTCCAAACTGCTGAATCCAAATAAAAGTTTAACTCTCTCAGATGAATGCACCCATCACAAAGCAGTTTCTCAGAAAGGTACTTTCTAGGTTTTATCTGAAGATATTTCCTTCTTCACACTGGGCCTCAAAGTGCTCCCAAATAACCCTCCTCAGATACTACCAAAACAGTGTTTCTAAACTGCTGAATAAAAGGAAAGTTTAACTCTGTGAGACGAATACACACATCACAAAGTGATTTCTCGGATAGCTTCCTTCTAGTTTTTATCCCGGGATATTCACTTTTTCATCATTTGTGTTAAGGAGCACTCAAGTATCCATTCACAGATTCTACAAAAACATTGATTCCAAACTGCTGAATTCAGGGAAAGGTTAACTCAGTTAGATGAATGCACACATCACAAAGCATTTTCTCAGAAAGGTACTTTCGAGTTTCTATCTGAAGATGTTTTCTTCTTCACACTAGGCCTTAAAGTCCTCCCAAACAACCCTTCTCAGATACTACCAAAACAATGTTTCCAAACTGCTGAATGAAAAGACAAGTTTAACTTAGTGAGATGAATGCACACATCAAACAGCAGTTTCTCAGATAGCTTCCTTCCATTTTTCATCCTAGGATATTCATTTTTTCACCTTTGGCCTCACAGAGCTCCCAAACGTCCATTTGCAGAATGGACAAAAACAGTTTTTCCAAACTGCTGAATGAAAAGAAATTTTTAACACTGTGAGATGAACGCAAACATCACAAAGCAGTTTTGCAGAAAGCTTCTTTCTAGTTTATATCTGAAAATATTTTCTTTTTGAGCATAGATCTCTATGCGCCCCCTAATGTCCTTTTGCAGATTCTACAAAAACATTGTTTCCAATAAAGTTTTTGCAGCATGGTAATCAGGGATACAGAGCTTCCCTTTCCTCATCCTTTTATTTTACAATTACCATCAAACCTTTTTTCATTCACTATACACACTGTGGACAAAATTTAATCTGGTTGCATAGCGATTTCTGACTTATCCTCACAACTTGTTGACCTTTTAAGCTGAGAAGAAAAGTGAAAAAAATATCCAAAATCCCGAATTTATTAGCTCCATCCATGGTCTCTTCAGGCCTTGCCTGTTGACAAACATGGGTTGAAAACAACAGCAAGACTTTTTGCAGGATGATAACTCATACTAAGATTTCTCTACAACGTCCCCACCTTTCTAGTTCATGTAATTTTATTGCCACTAGAATCACTGTTACAGATGTAACTCTTTAAAATCCAAAACTTTTTGACTTCTGACATGACACTTAAAGGAAATGTTCATTAGAGCATTTTAGATTTCATATTTTCAGATTAGGGATGCCTGACTTGTAAATACAATTCAAATATTACAATAAAAAATAAAAAATAAAAAAGCACTCCTGCTCCCAAGCATTTCAGTTTTAAAGGAGATATTTGACCTCTATAAATTAACAATAGCAAACATTTATTGGGAGATCATGATGTGCCAGAGTATGTTCAAAGTATTTTACATTATTAACTCATTTAATTCTTGGGCAACCCTGTGGTTTAGGCATTATTTACCATATTCTTTTTACAACTGAGGAAAGAAGAGAAGTTAAGTAACTTACTATTTTATAGAATGAGGGAAATTCAAGCCTAAACAGTAACCGTTTAGTGTTATACAATGTATTAGGCACATATAATATTAAAATCTAGGTCTCTATGTTTCTAATTCTGGCTTATTCTCTAAAATGATTTGTGATGAAGATTCTTAAGAAACATTTACACCTGATTCCAACATGACTGGCAAGACTTAGATCAGCTTAAATTGGCAGGTTTACATAACTGCACATGTCTGTTCTTACAGAGAACAGAACGACAAAAAATGGAACAGAAGAAAATCCCTTACTAAATGTCAAGAATTGGACTTACCTGTCAAAACGAGCTTGGCTGCAGAGGTGAAAGCAGAATCCGGGACGTACTCGGCCAGCTCACCCTTTCCACTGCTCAAGGTTTGTTTATGATGTCTGTACTCTAGCATAGTTGGTCATATTGTTGTGAGCAGTGAAGAGTTTTACTTTCTGCCTACATAGGAAAGAGTGGTTAATTCTAAGACTCGTGTGTATTATCAATAACTATGATATATCCACTAATCCACTAAGTAGTGAATGCTTTCCACTATGTAGTTAAAGCCATACCTACATGTGGTGACTATTCATGAATGACACAATAAGAATCAGCAATTTGACTGCACACTCCTATTTGTCAACCTACTAAAAGGTAATGTAACATCCACCTGCCACTTACCAGCTGAACTGCCTTGGTCAAACTTTCCATGCCATTAGCTACCTTATAGAGTTTTTTTTGTAAACATTAAGTAAATTAACAAATGCAAAGCATTTAAATGGAATATGGCACATACACAAAAGAAAATAATTATTTAAGTCATCTCTATTCAAAAGTTCAGTGTAAATTTTAGGATATCTATATTTAGTGATGCCTACGTGGTCCTTTTGAATTCCCAAGCAACCTCAGATTCCTTCAATGTTACATACAGAGACAGTTGCCACTAAACTACTGGGATTGGCACAGAATGCTATTCACCATTTCCTAAAATAGATGTTGGCAGCAAATTGTTTTCATTGTCAGGACAGACTAAGGGATTATATAGAGATATCTTGGGGCACAAGTTGGCCAGATATAACCAAGTTTCAACTTTTTTGTCCTTTCAATTTATCAATTACCATCTAATCTATGTATCTACACATCTATGTATCTACACATAATGCCTCCTGGTATATTTTCCAGGCTCATCTCATACCAAAATGAAGACCTTTAATCCTTAAAGGAGTGTCCTTCAAAGTAGGATATTTGTTATGTGTTAAACACTGGTCATCTTTATTCATCAAACAGCATGCTATAGTATGGCAGTGATCAATGGAAACACCCAATGGGAAATAAGTGAAATACCAGCAGCCAAGAACAATGAGAAGTAATCATCAGTTACCATTTCAAGCTTTGTCACTTTCTACCATAACTTATTTGCAGTAATCAACACAAATAATTACTCTTAATTATCAATTACCTATAATTCTATGTAGATGCACAATAGTTTTGGAGATATAAGAACACAGGAGTTTAAAAATAAGATGTTTTTCATTCTGTTAACTGGTAAGAAGTTTCCAGTTGGTAATACTGGAACAGGTAAATAGGTTTCCCAGTAACTAACTGGCAGGAGCCAATGACATAAACAACATCATTTATGGTAATGCTTGTTTCAGCAATATTTGTGGAAAAAATAACCTGTGAAGAAAGAAAAATTACACTCCAGATAATATTCTTATTATGTACTTGAAACGACTGGTTTGCTTATGTATGTAACAAATGACAAGAAAATTACAGAAGTCCTAAGAAAATCACCCAATAACCAATTAATGAACAATCTACTAAGCTCAGAAAGAGAAGACTCCTTTTTTCTTCCTCAATTTAGATGGGTTACAATTTTTTGGGTAGCTCTTTGAAGACCTGTAACATTTGTTTAATATCAACATCACTTCCAATCCCATCATTGTAATGTTTAATATTTACCTTGGTTACTCCAACTGGTACTGGATCCAACACTTTGCGCTGTTGCTCTGGAGGAATCTGAGAATGCAGAAGTAGAATCTGGTACTGATGGCTTCCCATATATAACAGTACAGAACAATCAGGGACTAAAAATAGGAACTGGTTTCAAACAGCTCTCCGTTGTACATATTTTTTTTCTTCGAAAGTATTGACAACACAAAATTTTGTTTTCACATACTGGCTAAGGCACTAGCAAAAACATTCATTTTCACTCTCAAATATGTGAGAATTTAAAGACTCATACCAAAATGTGGATTCATTTCCAAATGCTTCTTCACAGTATAAATCAAATTCCAGACAGGCAAAAAAACAAAACAAAACAAAACAAAACAAAACAACAGCTCCGGAAACGTTAAGAGTTTCAATGTACTTAAGTAGAGCTTTGATGAATTAAAAGGGAGTTTCCTTTTCGTTCAATTGAGACCTGCTCAACCTTGTTTCTGGACCATATTCATCACCACAGATCAAGTTGCAATTTTCCTGTAAAAAACAGGGAGACATATTTTGGACTGTCTGTTACTACAGCTCATGACAGTTACTACAGCTCATGACAGTTACTACAGCTCATGAGGTAAGTCTTCTAGATTTCTTCTAGTGACTCTAATGACTTGTAATGTCGTTATTTATTCTAGTTGACTGGTCATACACTACAGAATACAGAGAAATTTAATTTCCAAAAATGTAGAGCTTACATTAATATACTGAACTTTTCTACTAACTAGTATTTCTCACAGGATAGGACTAAAACTCAAGCACAAATTTTAAATTTGACTCAAACCTCTCATGGAGCCTTCTAAGGAGTATACTTCTTTCTTAATATTAGTGAAATAATGTAGCATTTTTCCAAAAAGTTTACATTAGAATCAATGATAAAACAAGTTGAGAAACAGTTGTTACAAATGGTCTTTTTCCTGCTAAATTTTCTAATCTGCTGTTCACTTACATCTTCAGATCTTTTGATTAAAAAGATACAATCTTAAGTTTTCAAGCAAATTCTGCATTGCTGGCTGTCTATTTCCAGATAAACCATCCATTTTTATACTACCGTTTGTCCAACTCTCAAGCACTACAATATAGGTCTTTTCTTTCCTGTTTCTCCTAGGAAATCCCTCTTTGCTCCCTGATTTAATACTCCGTCCACCTGATAATGTCATCTCCAGTCTCCTGTAGCTGAAGCTATAGCTGCTGTTTATAAACTTTATTGTACATACAGATCACCTGGGTATCTTGTTAAAACATAAATTCTGATTCAGTAGATCTAGGGTGGGGCACAGGATTCTGCCTTTCTACCAGTTTGCCGGGTTCTGCAGCCTACTGAAAATACTGAGTAGCAAAACTTTATGCAATGGTGTTGTCTGTAACCATGCCTGGCCTTTAAACATTGTATTCTTTCTTTTTTTTCTTTTGACTTTTATGCCAGAAATAATTTAACTCGTGATAGAAAACAGCTTGCCACTGAACCTGTAATTTTTTGCAGTAAAATACATCAATTAATCCAAAGGCAGACATTATAGTCAGTTTTTTAAAAATCTTCTGTAATGCTAATAAGTTGCATGTTATATTAACTCCTTTTTTCTCTGCATTGACAATTTGCCCACAATGGAAATTCTTCATGAAATTCACTTACATAATCATCCTCACCACCATCATCATCCTTATCCTTCTTCTTCTTGTCTTTTGGTGGAGGAACAAAGTGGGTCATCCGAATGCAGTCTTCCAGAAAATATTCTGCCAGGGACGATCCAGTCAGGTAAGTACTATCAACTTTCACAATGGAGCAGACTCAAATTCATTTGCTAATTCATAGTTCAAAACTACTTTAATACCTCTCTAGTCTGATTCCTCACAAATGCCAAAAAATTCCAGTAGTAATAACCTTATTTTCCTAACCAAACTCAGTGTTTCCCTCTCTTAGACCTTGAAGGAAGGTGAAGTATCTTTTACACATGTTCCCACAGAGCCAGTTGGGGTATCCTCTGTGTATAACATTCAACCAAACACTTATCTGTACACTTCCATTGTGTTGGAGTTGTACATGGAAAGTAGTAACTTAAATAAAACAATATACCGCAGTCTATCCTTCCTCTATCAGTATGCACACATAAAATGGCTTCTAGTTAATCTGAAGAAGGATCTCAATGCAAGGACTGGAAGATCTGTTGATCAATTATGCCCAAGATTCTCAGATGGCCCCAGAATGTCTTTATAATTGAAACACCCTCTATATCCAAAGACTCCATAAGTGCCATTCTCATCGCATCATATTAAGGGCACATCTTATCAATATGACCTACTCTTCATGATGTTAAAACTTGATCACCTGTGGTAGTGTCTGCCAAGTTTCTCCACTGTAAAGTTACTCATTTTCCCTTCTTCCCACGCTGTACTCTTTAGGAGTTATTAAACACAGCTCACTCAGGGGTTAGGTAGTTCAGACCCACTTGTTTGAAAAATGGGGAGACCATTTACATAAATTATTTGAAATTATTTTGTAAGAGAGACTTGTCACTATTATTTTTATTAAACCACTTATTTACATATCAGTATAGACACATAAATATTTTACATTTTGGTAATCTAATGCCATGTTTTTATTTCATTAAACTGTTCCAGCCTTGGCCATTGGGAACTCTTTCAGATTGGCTCCTGTAGCCATTTATCCCCATTGCTATGGGCTTCTTTTAGGCACTACCTTACTTTAAAACACAAGATGTTCCAGGCTCATTTTTGTATATTCTGTTTCATCCTAGAAGCAGCCATTTCTCCAGAAATATCTGGTTCCTTTAATTGGAGAATGGCATTAAAAACAAAATCTGGATGTGGGGCATATCCCTATCTATTGGGTGTCACTGCTTCTACTCCCACTCAGCACACAGAGCTAGAAAAAAATGTGTATGTATACTAACACATGTATCCACATGTATCTATATTTCTATACCTACCCATTTGTATCTCCATTTAGCTGAACACAAGTTCATGCTGATCTCTTTGAGTATAATCCGGTACCCTATGCTTTGTTCTGGCAATCCCACTTAGGTTTAACTTCTCTTTCTAGTAGTAAGAAACTGAGCTCCCAAGGCCAGGCGCGGTGGTAAACGCCTGTAATCCCAGCACTTTGGGAGGCTGATATGGGCAGATCACAAGGTCAGCAGCTCAAGACCACCGTGACCAACATGGTGAAAGCCCATCTCTACTAAAAATACAAAAACTAGCTGGGTGTGGTGGTGTGTGTCTGTAATCCTAGCTGCTCAGGAGGCTGAGGCAGGAAAATCACATGAACCTGGGAGGACGAGATTGCAGTGAGCTGAGACTGCACCACTGCACTCCAGCCTGGGCAACAGAGCTAGACTTCATCTAAAAAAGAAAAGAAAGAAAGAAACTGAGCTCCCACCACTTGCCATCCATTTACTTGTATGTCAATTCCAGTACACATGTACAGCAGTTTTAGAATTAACCTGTACCCCTGTGAATTACACTGGCTTAGCATGCTGGTATAGCCATAACGTCATATCTATCTACACTGTTTCTCTCTTATTTTCATGCCCTCAATTGAATGTGCCATAATTCATTTTTTTTCCCCAAAGCTACCAGATGACTATCCTAGGAAACTGTGATAACAACTCCTAAAGACAGTAAAGAAGGCTGGCCACAGTGGCTCTAGACTGTTATCCCAGCACTTTGGGAGGCTGAGGCAAGCTGACTGCTTGGGTCCATGAGTTTGAGACTAGCTTGGGCAACATGATGAGACCTTGTCTCTACAAAAAATACAAAAATTAGCCAGGCACGGTGGTGTGCACCTGTAGTCCCAGGTAATGAGGAAGCTGAGATGGGAGGACTGATTGGGCCTGGGAGCCAGAGGTTGCAGTGAGCCAAGATTGCACCACTACACTCCAGTCTGGGCAACAGAGTGAGACCCTGTCTCAGAAAAAAAAAAAAGATACTAAAGAACACTCACTTATCAGAAATATATAACCTTGACATACTTCCCTTAATCTTAATTCAAAATCTAGTTGCTCAGGCTCTAAAAAGTATTCTTAATTTGATCCTGGCTGCTTAAACTCTTAAGAGTAATTCCCATAATTACATATATACCACAGTTATTTCCCTTTGACTATTCATTATAATTTTTAAAAGTTTGGCTTTATAAGTAAACGCCTGGAAACTTACTGGATATGCAAACTACTCAAGTAGTAAATGAAACCTGGTCTCACTTCTCAGACTGTACTCACTACTGTATAAAATCACAGACAAGAAGCTCCTCAAAAATGCTATGATACATCTGATACTGTAATTTTTCCTGTATTTTAAGTATTCTTTAAATTATAACTCCAATTTCCAGGATTAAGAAAATCCAAACCCTACTGCACAAAAGATGTTCCTATCCCACCCCCACAATATTACCTTCAATTGGTTAAGTCCTCCCATAAACTTCAATGATGGGGCAATTGAAGAAATATTCACAGAACATGTTGGTATCAATAGTAGCAGACATAAGAACAATGTGAACTTCAGGATAAGCCTGAAACACATCACGCAGTACTATCAAAAGGAAGTCAGTCTATTAAAACACAAACACAAAATTTTTGAAATTACATTAACTTTATACAACAAACTATGCCTAAAGGAGTTATACAGCCACAAGATATCATTTAAATTCACTTTCTTAGATGGCTCATAGAAGTGCAAGATAAAGGACCACAGTGGGTCCTTTATCAATTTTTAAGATAACAATAACAATTTTTAAGAACAGTTGTAGCCTAATAGTTGTTGGAGATTAGGAATGAGTGCTAATGGCCGGGCTCAGTGGCTCATGCCTGTAATCTCAGCATTTTGGGAGGTCAAGGTGGGTGGATCATCTGAGGTTGGGAGTTCGAGACCAACCTGAACAACAATGGAGAAACCCTGTCTCTACTAAAAATACAATATTAGCCCAGTATGGTGGCACATGCCTATAATCCCAAGTACTCAGGAGGCTGAGGCAGGACAATCACTGGAACCAGGAGGGAGAGGTTGTGGTAAGCCAAGCCATGTTGCTCAGGCTGGTCTCAAATTCCTGGCCTCAAATGATCCACCTGCCTTGGCTATATTTTTAAATTTTACTTACTTTGTGGAAATGCATATTTTATGTTGTCTTGGGATTTCCTTTTTTACATACCACAACATTGCTAAGATTCATCCACTCATTACTATAGTCATCCTTTCTGATGACAGTTTACTGTTCCTGTGTATGTATTTATCAGTTAATTCACTTACTCTTACATATATCTGGCTTGTTTTCAAGATTTACTAATGTGAACATTTACTACTATGAGCATCCTTGTTAAGTCTAAAGAGCAGTGCTAAACATATCCAAGTTTCTGGAGGTTAAGTGTGGGTATAGAATTGCCAAGCTATAGGGTATGTAACTGCTGAACTTCAGAAGATAACACTTAACAATTTTCCTAAGTGGTTCCATTATTTGTATATCCCCATGAGCAGTGAATAAGCGATCCTGCTGATCCACATACTCTCCACATTTTTACAATGTCGCTTTTTATTAAATAAATGGATATAATGCAGTGTCTTCTTGTGGTCTAGACCTATACTTTCCCATTAGTCCCAGTGAGATTGAATATCTCCATGTTTATTAACCAAATGTTTCCTCTTCTATAAAATGCCTGTATTTTTGCTCATTTTTCTACTACATTGTTTAAACTTTTCTTACTGATTTGTGGACGTTGCTTATATATTCCTGTACTAACATGTTGGAATCTTCTAGCTTGAGGTTTTCCTTAAAGTTCCTTTTGACTAAACAAATGACCTTAATTTTAATATGGAAGAGTACAGTGATCTTTTATTTCAAGTTTAGTGCATTTCATGTGTTCAGCAATCCTTTCAGAAGGTCTAAAACTATGCTGCCCAATACAGTAGCATTAATCTGAATTGAGATGTACTTTAAATGTAAAACACATTTGTTCAAACCAAATGTTGAAGACATCGTATGAGAAAAAATAATGAAAAATATCTCAAACATAACTTTTAAAATTAACTGTGTGTTGTAAATACTTTAGATATTCTGGGTTAAATATGTTTAATTTCACATTTTCACCTTTTCAAATGCATTATTAGAAAAATTTAAATTATGTGGCTTACGTATTTCTTTTGGACAGCACTGTCTAGAAGATGCTTATTTATATTTTTATATTTTCTACTTCAGTGTTTGAAAAACTCTTTCATGTGTCAACACATTTAAAGTTCTCAATCTATATGGAGATGATTTTTGTACTTAGTTATGAGGTAGGGAAGTTATTTCAAATACATTGAAATAACAATTAGTTTCCAGTTCCATTTACTTAAATGCTCATTCCCTAGCTCGCTGATATGGCATGCCACCATTATCTCATAACAACGTTGCATGTAACATACAACATACAATGTGTTTTTGTGCCCTGTCTTATCCCATCTATCAACCCATGTACCTCACTGTCTCGATTATTTTAGCTTCAAAACAGGTCTTGTTATCTGTAAGGCAAGATTCTCCATTCTGTTCTTCTTTAGAAATACTGGCTACTTGGGGCCATAAATCTATCTTATTAAGTATTTACAATCACCTCATCAAGTTGTATGGAAAACCTTGCCGGTATTTTAATTAGAATTGCATTCAAAATGTGGATCAACTTGAAAATAATTGATGTTATTAAATCCTACTATATATAAACATTGTCTGCTCTTTTTCAGTGTTTTGTAATAAAATTTATTTATCTTGTAAAGATCTTGCCTGTTTTTGTTGTTTATTCTTAGGTACTGAATACTTTGACTGCTGAAGTCTATTTTCTTTTTATTTTTTCTAGCTATTCTTATAAGTATAAAAAAAGCTACTGCCTTTTTTATATTAACCTTTTATCCAGCCATACTGTTAAGTTCTATTATTTGTAGTATTGGTCTATAAGTACACTTGGGTTTTCTATGTAAGGTGACAGAACAAGGTAAGATTTATCTTGAAAGAGAACATGAAAAGTTTCTTCAGGCTGGGCAAGGTGGCTCACACCTGTAAATCCCAGCACATTGGGAGGCCAAGGCAGGCAGATAACCTGAGGTCAGGAGTTTGAGTCCAGCCTGGACAACATGGCAAAATAGTGTCGCTACAAATAATACAAAAATTAGCCAGGTGTGGTGGCAGGCACCTACAATCCCAGCTACTCATAGGCTGAGGCAGGAGAATCCCTTGAATTCTGCAGCAGAGGGTACAGTGAGCTGAGATGCAGCAACTTCACTCTAGCCTGGGCTGAAGAGTGAAACTTCAATAAAAAAGAAGACAAACCTGGGCTGAAGTGGACAAGACAGGACCAGGCCTGAAAAGCCCAGACAGGACCATACCAAACCAGACCAGACCCAACAAAACTGGACTACACTGAAATGCACTGGACCAGACTGGACCAAAGCGGACAAGACCGGGCCAGACTGCATAAGACTGGGTCAGGACTGGACTAGGCCAAACCAGACAAGACCAGTCAGGACTGGACTGAACCAGACTGGACCAGAACAAACCAGACAAGACTGGGCCGAACTGGACAAGACTGGCAAGGACCAGGCTGAACCGGCCAAGACCAGACCAAACTGGACAAGACCAGTCAGGACCGGACAAGACTGGGCCAAAATGGATAAGACTGGTCAGGACCAGATGAAAATGGACAAGACTGGACCAGACCTGGCTGAAACCTGTAAAACTGGTCAGGCCTGGAGTGAACCAGACCAGACTGGACTGAACTGGACCAAACTGCATACGACTGGACAGGACTGGACAAGACCAGATCAAACCAGACAAGACTGGGCTGAACTGGATAAGACTGGTCAGGACTGGACCAAAACAGACATACTGGACCAGACTTGACAATACTGGATAAGACTGGTCAGGACTGGACTGAACCAGACCAGAGCAGACCAAACCAGTTAAGACCAGAAGGACTGGACAAGACTGGACCAAACCGGACAAGACTGTGCTGAACTGGATAAGACTGGTCAGGACCAGATGAAACTGGACAAGCCTGGACCAGACCAGTCAGGATTGGACTGAACCAGACCAGTCCAGACCGAACCAGATAGGACAAGACTGGGCCAGACTGGATAAGACCGGACAGAACTCAACAAGACTGGACCAAACCAGACAAGACCAGGCCAAACTGGATAAGACTGGTCAGGACTGGACCGAATCAGACCAGAATGGACCAAACCAGGTAAGACTGGACAGGACTGGACAGGACCAGACCAAACTGGACAAGACCATGCAGATCTGGATAAGACTGGTCAGGACTGGACCAAACCAGAGAAGACTGGACCAGACCTGTCAGGACTGGACAGAACCAGACCAGACCAGATCAAATCCGATAGGACAAGACTGGGTCAGAACAGATAAGACCAGACAGGACTGGACAAGCCTGGACCAAACCAGACAAGAATGGGCCAATCTGGATAAGACTGGTCAGGATCAGACCAGACCAAACCAGACAAGACTGGGCCGAACTGGATAAGACTGGTCAGGAATGGACCAAACTGGACAAGACCAGGCTGGGCCAGACAAGACTGGACCAAACTGGACAAGACCAGGCTGGGCCAGACAAGACTGGACCAAACTGGACAAGACGAGATAAGACTGGTCAAGACCAGACAGAACTGGACAGAATAAGACCAGACCAAACTGGACAAGACCAGGCCAAATATGATAAGACTGGTCAGGACTGGACCCTACCAAACTGGCAGGACAGGAGCAGACCAGACCATACTGGACAAGTTTTCACAGACCCTTCCACGTTGGCTTCCCAAAGTGCTAGGATTACAGGCGTGAGCCACTGCACCTGGCCCAGACTTACATCCTAAGTTGCTTAAGCTGACCCAAACCACTTACTGTTTTAGAAAAATACCAAGGATTATCCATGACATTATTCCAGTGTTTGGAATAATTTAAACCCTAAGAACATTGCTAGATTAACAAGCAATTAAAGATAATATAGAAACATTTGTCAATTAAGTTAATTAGGAAAAACCTGTAAAGTTTCCAAGAGAATATAAAGGACAAAAGAGCAAAAATTTTGTCCTACTGAAAACTTACATAATTTACAGTCATGATAAACCATCCAAACCAGTCTTATCTGCTTCAGCTTAGCTTTGCCAAAACTCAAGATGTTTAACAAAAACTGATATAAAAGTAAGAGGAGAAAGTTTTAAGAAATGCTTTGAGGAGAGGTGGATGGATCACCTGAGGTTAGGAGTTTGAGACCAGCCAGGCCAACATGGTAAGACCCTATCTCTACTAAAAATACAAAAAATTAGCCAGGCCTGGTGGCAGGCACCTGTAATCCCACCTACTTGGGAGACTGAGGCAAGGAGAATCACTTAAATCTAGGAGGCAGAGGTTGCAGTAAGCCGAGATTGCACCATTGCACTCTAGTCTGGGTAACAAGGGTCAAAATAAAAAAAAAAAAGAAAGAGAAAGAAAAAAACAAGAATTAAAAGAAGTGTTAGAGATTATCATGAGATCTAAAACCCAAATCCTTTTATTAACCTTATTTTTAGATTAATTTTATTATATCAAAAGTGCATTAAATAATGTCACATTTCAAGCATAACAGTTAATTTTTTTGACTGCTATGCTTGAAATTTGGAAATTCCCAATCCCTGGAAACTACTGATCTGACTTTTGTCACCACATACCAGATTTGCTTTTTTCTAAAATTTCATATGCATAAAATTATATGGCAGGTATTATTGTCTCCAGTTTATTTCTTTTAGAATAATGTTTTAAAATTTATCCATACTGATGGATGAATCAGTACTTTATTTCTTTTTGTTGCTGAGTATTATTCAATTTTATGACTTGTGATATTATGAAATATATATTTGGTCTTCAACCCCCTTTCCTGGCATACAACTCTTAAAACACTTAGAAACTTGGAAGTGATGTCTTGTGTTTGCTAATTATTGACTGAACTTATGGCTAGTGGCCTGTGGGTAACTTCAGAATGGGGGTTGGGAGAAGAAAAGAAAAAAAGAAAAAAAAAATCTTTGAGTCACTGGCGGCAGTTTAAAAAGCATGCTGCCCATGCACTGAAACCTTTGTAAGGCACTGTAATACTTGGCTTGGATATAATTTCACATCATTTAATTGCATAGCAGTTAATTTTACACCAGTTTTGCCAAGGGCTAAAAGAGGGATTGGTTGGAAATAAATTATAGTTTCTTCCCAATTTTGGCATGATTCTCATTAACATCTGAAAAGATCAGAGCTGAAAACATCTGAAAAAACTCTGTTAATTATTTTAAAATAAACACTATAGGCTGGACACAATGGCTCATGCCTGTAATCTCAGCATTTTGGGAGACTAAGACAGGTGGATCACCTGAGGTCAGGAGTTCCATACCAGCCTGACCATGGTGTTGAAACCCTATCTCTACTGAAAATACAAAAATCAGTCAGGCATGGTGACGGGCGCCTGTAGATCCAGCTACTCAGGAGGCTGAGGCAGAAGAATTGTTTGAATGTGGGAGGAGGAGGTTGCTGTGAGTTGAGATTGCACCATTGCACACCAGCTTGGGTGACAGAGCAAGACTCTGTCTCAAAACAACAACAAAAAAAGCCATTATAAAATCTATCATAAACTTCCAATCCAAAGAAAAACGAATCATAAAAATTCCATCAGCTATTTAGTCATAAATCATTAGTTCAATTGCTGAAATATGCCAGCTATTACTGATCACTGCAGTTACACTTTACGACATAGGTCTTCACTTCCAGAATGCTTTCTGTAAAGTTTAACAATAAAGAAAAAAAAATTTAACAATCTTGCTAAAAAAAGATTTTCAACATCTGAGTGATTGAAGTTCGTAGTTTTGATAATGATAAAAACAGGGGAAAGGGAAAACAAATCAAAGACATTCTACTGATTTCTCTTAGAAATAGTAGAATTAGTACCTTACTGTACCTCTCAAGTTACTTACATTAATGTCTCTTTCATGTATTTCACCTACAGTTACATGACTGATTCCTCAAATGCCTGATTCTAATTTTCTTAGGAGCAGACCTTCAAAAGAAAAACAATCAACAAACTGTAGAAAAGTTCAAAGAAGCAAATGTCTGGACAGTTATCTATATTTCAACTAAGATACCCCAGCATCAATTTAAAAAATAATCACGTGTACATTTAAACTACTAAAAAGGTGATAGTACACTATGAAATATAGTTTTTTTCACCAATTTTATGATTTCATTTTCTCTAAGCTACAAGATCTAATGGGTATATCATACTTACCATGAAGGAAAAAACTGCCAAAAGTTTTATTTAAACAAGAAATCTGAGACTGAATCATTATTTCTTTCCAGTCATTCTGTTCTGCTGTCAAGTTTTCTTCACAAACACCACAACATAAACCCCAAATGAAATTTGAAAATATATTACTGACCTACAGTACAAAACGTTATACTGGCATGAAAACGAGGGAGTACAGACTCAATTCGAACAGTGTATCCACAGCTTTTTCCAGTCTCTTCTCCTCTTTCAAATGCAACTCGCTCTGCCACAGAAACTGCACTGATTCTTCTGGGCTGAGACAGTAAAAAAGAAAAGTGACTTAACAACTACAAAGTTAGATACAATTGTTTATTAGCATTTTTGGATTATTGTAGTAAATCTGTCCTACTGCCAGCTGAATAATTAACAGAAACAATAAATGTACAAAAAATACTATTGGTTTCTATGGCAGACACTTTAAAAATGTTGTTTTTAATTTTCTACTTAAAATGATTCTATAATTTGTCATTGCCTCCAACTCTTAAATAGTGTTCACAGTGATTTTCCAGTAGGGAACAGGGCATAACATACGTAGGGAGGTTTGTCTTTGTAACTGATCACCACACTAAAAACATAGTTTGAGAAAATTATTTAACTGAGACCTATGGTAATCAGAAAGATAAACAATTGCCTTTTTGCCATCTGTACTGTGACCACCTTCTGCTCACTTATTAACTCAGTAATCAAACATTCAATGCACGTTTGCATCAGATGCTAGAGATAGAAAACTGAAATCACTGTTTTTGATAAGCTCACACAGCAGGAAAAACTGTGTGTATTGCTATTTCCGACAATCAGTCTGCAAAACTCTAAGGAGAATGCTATAATATTTAAGTGAAGGACGTTTTTATGAAATCTCTTCTGAGGTGTTCCATGTCTTCTAAGTACAAAAGCAATCTATGCTTGGTGGATACTATGAGGACATGCCTAATGTATAGCTAAAAGAGATACACAAAGATCTATATACTGTATGCTTCTAAGTTGACTTGGATTTGATTTTGTCTAAAAGTTCCTGATGACAGGGTAGATTTCAGTTCCTTGCTTGAGCAAACTTTTTCTGAGTTTCATATTTACTTAAGTACCTATTTGATATCTCAGGTTAGGACATGACTAGGAAACTAGAGGCTGATGATAGAATATTTAACATAAAACATGACTTTAATTTCTATTCTCCTAATACAAGAGTTAATTAGGGTATGAGGCTAGTAACATGTACAAGTCCACTATAACCTGGCTAATATTTATCTTGCCCACAAAGATAAAAGAGATTGAAAGCTACTTTGTTGAACACACTGTGTAGAATTTTGGGAGCTTTTACTGATCACTATCTTCTTTGTACTAAACAATTCTTTCAATAATCTTATTTAGCAATGGATAAGGAATTTTCCAGCTTGTCACCATTTTTTGAAAGAAGCTCCCAAATATCCATACAAAGAATGTACAAAAAGAGTGTTTCCAAACTGTTGAATTAAAAGAAAGGTTTAACACTGTGAGGTGAATGAACACATGGCAAAGCAATTTCTCTGATAGCTTCTTTCTAGTTTTTGTCTTACGTATTCCCTTCTTCACCATTGGCCTCAATGAGGTCAAAATGTCCATTCGCAGAATGTACAAAAACAGTTTCCAAACAGCTGAATCAAAGGAAACATTTAACTCTGTGAGCTGAATGCACAAATCACAAAGCAGTTTGGCAGAAAGCTTTTTTCTAGTTTTTATCTGAAGATATTTCCTTTTTCACCATAGGCCTCAATGTGCTCCCAAATGTCCTTTCACAGATTCTATTAAAACAGTGTTTCCAAACTGCAGTATCAAATCAAAGGTTTAACTCTGTGAGATGAATGCACACATCACAAACCGGTTTCTCACATAGCATCTTTCTAGTTTTTATTTTGAGATATTTATTTTTTCACCATTCACCTCAATGAGCTCCCAAATGTCCATTCTCAGAATGTACAAAAACAGTATTTCCAAACTGCTGAATGAAAAGAAAGGTTTAACTCTGTGAGATGAATGCACATATCACACGGTAGTTTCACAGAAATCTTCTTTCTAGTTTCTATCTGAAGATATTTTCTTTTTGACCATAGGCCTCCATGTGTTCCCTAATGTCCTTATGCAGATTCTACAAAAAAAAAAAAGTGTTTCCAAACTGCTAAATCAAAAGAAAGGTTTAACTCTGTGAGAAGAATGCCCACATCACAAAGTGGTTTCTCAGATAGCTTCCTTCTAGTTTTTATCTTGGGTATTTGCTTTTCCACCATTGGCCTCAATGAGTCCCCAAATGTCCATTCAGAGATTCTACAAAAAAAGTGTTTCCAAACTGCTGAATCAAAAGAAAGGTTTAACTCTGTGAAATGAATGCACACATCAAAAAGTGGTTTCTCAGATAGCTACTTCTAGTTTTTATCTTGGGATATCCACTTTTTCACAATTGGCCTCAATGAGATCCCAAATGTCCATTTGCAGAATGTACAAAAACATTGTTTACAAACTGCTGAATCAAAAGAAAGGTTTAACTCTGTGAGATGAATGCACATATCATAAAGGGGTTTCACAGAAAGCTTCATTCTAGTTTCTATATGAAGATATTTTCCTTTTGATTGTAGCCCTCAATGTGCTCCCGTGTCCATTCGCAGAATCTACAAAACAGTATTTCCAAATTACTGAATCCAAAAAAAGGTTTAACTGAGTGAGATGAATGCATACATCTAAAGCAGTTTCTCAGATAGCTTCCTTCTAGTTTTTATCTTGAGATATACAATTTTTCACCATTGGCCTCAATGAGCCCCCAAATGTCCATTTGCAGAATGTACAAAAAGAGTGTTTCCAAACTGCTGAAACAAAAGAAAGATTTAATTTCTGTGAGATGAATGCACACACCACAAAGCAGTTTCACAGATAGCTTCTTTCTAATTTTTATCAGAAGATATTTTCTTTTTGAGCAGATGCCTCAATACACTCCCAAGTGTAAATTCACAGATTCTACAAAAACAGTGTTTACAAACTGTTAAATCAAAAGAAAGGTTTAACTCTGTGAGATGAATGCACACATCACAAAGAAGTTTCACAGAAAGCTTTTTTCTAGTTTTTATCTGAAGATATTTTATTTTTGACCATGGGCCGCAATGCACTCCCAAATGTCCTTATGCAGATTCCACAAAAACAGTGTTTCCAAACTGCTGAATCAAAAGTAAGCTTTAACACTGTAAGATGAATACACACATTACAGAGCGGTTTATCAGATAGCTTCCTTCTAGTTTTTATATTGGGATATTCATGTTTTCACCATTGGCCTCAATGAGCTCCCAAATGTCCTTTTGCAGAATGTACAAAAAGAGTATTTCCAAACTGTCAATCAAAAGAAAGGTTTAACTCTGTGAGATGACTGCACACATCAGAAAGGAGTTTCATAGAAGGATTCTTTCTAGTTTTTATATGAAAATATTTTCTTTTTGACCACAGGCCACAATGTGCTCCCAAAAGTCCTTTTGCACAATGTACAAAAACAGTGTTTCCAAACTGCTGAAACAAAACATAGGTTTAACTGTGTGAGCTTAATTCACACATACCAAAGCTGTTTCTCACATAGGTTCTTTCTTGTTTTTATTTGGGAATGTTTGCTTTTTCATCATTGGCCTCAATGAGCTCCCAAATGTCCTTCCAGAGATTCTACAAAAACAATGTTTCCACACTGCTGAATCAAAAGAAAGGTTTAACTCTGTAAAATGAATGTACACATCACAAATCAGTTTCTCAGATGGCTTCTTTCAAGTTTTTATCTGAAGATAATTGCTTTATCACCATAAGCCTCAAAGCACTCCCAAATGTCCTTTCGCATATTCTACAAAAATAGTGCTTACAAACTGCAGATTTAAAAGAATGGTGTAACTCTGTGAGATGAATGCACACATGACAAAGCAGTTTCTCAGATAGATTCTTTCTTGTTTTTGTCTGGAGATAGTTGCTTTGTCACCATAGGCCTGAATGAGCTCCCAAATGTCCTTTCTCAGATTCTACACAAACAATGTTTCCAAACCACTGAATCAAAACCTAGGTTTCACTGTGTGAGCTGAATGCACACATAACAAAATTGTTGTTCAGATAGCTTCTTTCAAGTTTTTACTAGAAGATATGTGCTTTTTCAAGATATGCCCCAAAGCGCTCCCAAATGTCCTTTCGCAGATTCTTCAAAAACAGTGTTTCCAAACTGCTGAATCAAAACATAAGTTTAACTGTGTGAGCTGAATGCACAAACAACAAATCTGTTTCTCAAATAAACTTCTTTCTAGTTTTTGTCTGGGGATATTTTCTTTTTCACTATTGGTTTCAATGAGCTCCCAAATGTTCTTTTGCAGATCCTAAAAAAATAATGTTTCCAAACTGATTAATCAAATGAAGAGTTTAACTGTGTGCAATGAATGCACACGTCACAATGCAGTTTCTCAGATAGCTTCTTTCAACTTTTTATCTGAAGACATTTGCTTTTTCTCTGTAAGCCTCAAAGTGCTCCCAAATGTTCTTTCACAGATTCTAAGAATACAGTGTTTCCAAAGTGCTGAATCAAAAGAATGGTGTAACTCTGTGAGATGAATGCACACATCACAAAGCTCTTTCTCAGATAGTTTCTTTCTTGTTTTTGTCTGCAGATATTATTTTTGTCACCATAGACCTGAATGAGCTCCCAAATGTCCTTTCTCAGATCCCACAAAAACAGTGTTTCCTAATTGCTGAATAAAAACATAGGTTTAACTGTGTGAGCTGAATGCAAAGATAACAAAGTTGTTTCTCAGATAGCTTCTTTCAAGTTTTTATCTAAAGATATTTGCTTTTTCATCATAAGCCTCAAAGCGCTCCTACATGTCCTTTTGCAGATTCCTCAAAAACAGTGTTTCCAAACTGCTGAATCAAAATATAGGTTTATCTGTGTGAGCTGAATGCACACATAAAAAGACCTGTTTCTCAAATGGCTTCTTTCTAGTTTTTATCTGGGGATATTTGCTTTTTTACCATTGGCCTCAATGAACTCCCACATGTTCTCTTGCAGATTCTACAAAAACAGTGATTCCAAACTGCTGAATGAAAAGAAAATTTTAACTCTGTGAGATGAATTCACACGTCACAATGCAGTTGCTCAGATAGCTTCTTTCATGTTTTTATGTGAAGACATTTGCTTTTTCAACATAAGCCTTGAAGCGCTCCCAAATGTCCTTTCGCAGATTCTATGAAAACAGTTTTTCCCAACTGCTGTATCCAAAGAAGGGTTTAAACCGATGAGATGAATACACACATCCCAAAGCAGTTCCTTAGATAACATCTTTCTGATTTTTAACAGGAGATATTTGCTTTCTCACCATTGGCCTGAAGGAGCTCTGAAATCTTCTTTCTCAGATTCTACAAAAACAGTGTTTCCAAACAGCTGAATCAAAACATAGGTTTAATTGTGTTAGCTGAACGCAAACATAACAATGCTGTTTCTCACATACGTTCTTTCTAGTTTTTAATCGGGATATTTCCTTTTTCACCATTGGCCTCAATGAGCTCCCAAATGTTCTTTCACAGATTCTACACAAATGGTGTTTCCAAACTGCTGAATCAAAGAAAGGTTTAACTCTGTGAGATGAATGTACACATCACAATGCAGTTTCTCACATAGCTTCTGTCAAGTTTTTACCTGAAGTTAATTGCTTTTTCACCATAAGCCTCAAAGTACTCCCAAATGTTCTTTCGCAGACTCTGCAAGAACAGTGTTTCCAAACTGATGAATCAAAAGAATGGTGTCACTCTGTGAGATGAATGCACACATCACAAAGCAATTTCTCAGATAGATTCTTTCTTGTTTTTGTCTGGAGATATTCGTTTTCACCATAGACATCAAAGCCCTCCCAAATATCCCTTCACAGATTCTACTAAAACAGTGACTCCTAAATGCTGAATCCAAAGAAAGGTTTAACTCTATGAGACGAATGCACACATCACAAAACAGTTTCTCAGAAAGCTTCTTTCTGGTTTTTAACAGGAGATGTTCACTTTTTCACCAATGGCCTGAATGAGTTTCAAAATGTCACTTCTCAGATTCTACAATAACAGTGTTTCCAAACTGCAGAATGAAAACGTAGGTTTAACTGTGTGAGCTGAATGCAAACATAAGCAAGCTGCTTCTCAAAAGGCTTCTTTCTAGTTTTTATCTGGGTTATTTGCTTTTTCACCATTGGCCTGAGAGAACCCAAATCTTCATTTGTAGATTCTACAACAACATGTTTCCTAACTGCTGAATCATAAGAAAGGTTTAACTCTGTGGGATGAAAGCACCCCTCTAAAAAACAGTTTCTCAGATAGAGTCTTTCAAGTTTTTATCTGAAGATATCAGGTTTTTCATCATAAGCCTCAAAGCACTCCCAAATGTACTTTCGCAGATTCTATGAAAACAATGTTTCCAAACTGCTGAATCCAAAGAAAGGTATAAGTTTATGAGATGAATATCACAAAGCAGTAGCTGAGATAACTTCTTTCTGGTTTTGAACTGGAGATATTCGTTTTTCTCCATAGGCCTGAATGAGCTTCCAAATGTCCTGTCTCATATTCTACAGAAACAGTGTTTCCAAACTGCTGAATCCAAACATAGGTTTAACTGTGTGAACTGAATGAACAGATAACAAAGCTGTTTCTCACATAACTTCTTACTACTTTTTGTCTGGTGACATTTGCTATTTCACCATTGAACTCCATTAGCTCTCAAATGTCCTTTCGCAGATTCTACAAAAATAGTGTTTCCAAACTGCTGAATCAAAAGAATGGTGTAACTCTTTGAGATGAATGCACACACAATAAAGCAGTTTCTCAGATAGCTTATTTCTTCTTTTTGTCTGGAGATTCTCACTTTTTCACCATATACCTGAATGAGCTCCCAAATGTCCTTTTGCAGATTCTAAGAAAACAGTGTTTCCAAACTGCTGAATCAAAACATAGATTTAACCATGTGAGCTGAATGCACACATAAAAAAGCCGTTTCTCAAATATCTTCTTTCTAGTTTTTATCTGGGGATATTTGCTTTTTCACCATTGGCCTCAATGAGCTCCCAGATGTTCTTTCACAGATTCTACAAAAACAGTGTTTGTTTACACACTATTGAATCAAAAGAAAGCTTTAAATCTGTGAGATGAATACACAAATCACAATGCAGTTTCTCAGATAGCTTCTTTTGAGTTTTTTTGTGAAGACATTTTCTTTTTCACTGTAAGCCTCAAAGTGCAAACGAATGTCCTTTTGTAGATTCTATAAGAACAGTGTTTCCAAATTACTGAATCAAGAAAATAGTGCAACCCTGTGAGGTGAATGCATACATCAAAAAGCAGTTTCTCACATAGCTTCTTTCTTGTTTTTGCCTGGAGATATTTGCTTGTTCACCATAGGCCTCAATGCACTCCCAAATGTCCCTTTAGGGAATCTACAAAAACAGTGTTTCCACACTGCTGAATCCACAGAAATGTTTAACTCTATGAGATGAATGCACACAAAACAAAGCCATTTTTCAGGTAACTTCTTCTGGTGTTTAACTGGAGATATTCACTTTTTCACAGTAGGCCTGAATGAGCTTCCAAATATCCTTTCTCAGATTCTACAAGAACAGTGTTTCCAAACTACTGAATTAAAACATAGCTTTTACTGTGTGAGCTGAATGCACACATAACAAAGTTGTTGCTCAGACAGCTTCTTTCAAGTTTTTATCTGAAGATATTTGCTTTTTCACTATAAGCCTCAAAGCACTTCCAAATGTCCTCTCGCAGATTCTATGAAAACAGTGTTTCCAAACTGCTGAATTAAAACAGTGGTGTAACTCTGTGAGATAAATGCGCACATCACAAATCAGTTTCTCAGATAGCTTCTTTTTTGTTTTTGTCGAGATATTTGCTTGTTCAACATACGCCCCAATACACTCCCAAATGTCTCTTCATGGATTCTACAAAAACAGTGTTTCCAAACTGCTGAATACAAAGAAAAGTTTAACTATATGAGACGAATATTACACTGCAGTTTTTCAGGTAACTTCTTTCCGGTCTTTAACTGGAGATATTCACTTTTTCACCATTGGTCTGAATGAGTTTCCAAATGTCATTTCTCAGATTCTACAAAAACAGTGTTTCCAAACTGCTGTATGAAAACATAGGATTAAGTGTGCAAGCTGAATGCATGCACACATAACAAAGCTGTTTCTCACATAGCTTCTTTCTAGTTTATGTCTCTGGATATTTGCTTTTTCACCATTGGCCTCAATGAGCTCCCAAATGTTCTTTCACAGATTCTACAAAAACAGTGTTTCCAAACTGATGAATCAAAAGAGTGGTGTAACTCTGTGAGATGATATCGTAGGAACCCACCCCCACTATTTCAACATAGGTTCTTTCTATTTTCCATAAGTGTCAGTCAGTCTGAGATATAAAGAAAAAGAGTACAAAGAGAGGAATTTTATAACTGGGCCAACAGGGGTGATGTCACATATTGGTAGGACCTTGATGCCCACCTGAGCCACAAATCCAGCAGGTTTTATTAAGGATTTCAAAAGGGGAGGGGTGTAAGAACAGGGAGTAGGTCACAAAGATCACATGTTTCAAAGGGCAAAAAGGAGAACAAAGATGACATGCTTCAGAGGAAACACAGCAAGGGCAAAATCAGAAACTCCTGATAAGGGTCTATGTTCAGCAGTGCACGTATTGTCTTGATAAACATCTTAACAAAAGAAAACAGGGTTTGAGAGCAGAGAACCGGTTTGACCTCAAATTTACCAGGGTGAGGTTTTTCCCCACCCTACTAAGCCTGAGGGTACTGCAGGAGACCAGGGCATATCTAGTCCTTACCTCAACCGCATAGAACAGACATTCCCAGAGTGGCCATTTATAGACCTCCCCCAGAAATGGAATTCTTTTCCCAGAGCATTAATATCAATATTCCTTGCTAGGAAAAGAATTTATCATTATCTTCCCTACTTGCACATCCTTTTATAGGCTCTCTGCAAGAAGAAAAATATGGCTCTTTTTGCCTGACCATGCAGGTAGTCAAACCTTATGGTTTTCTTTCCTTGTTCCCTAAAATTCGCTGTTATTCTGTTCTTTTTCAAGGTGCACTGATTTCATATTCTTCCAACACACATATTTTACAGTCAATTTGTACAGATTACACAATTATCATAGTGATCCTGAGGTGATGTACATCCTCAGCTTATGAAGATAACAGGATTAAGAGATTAAAGTAAGACAAGCATAAGAAATTATGAAAGTTTTATTTGGGAACTGAATAATTGTCCATGAAATCTTCACAATTTACTTTCTTCTGCATGGCTCCAGCTGGTCCCTCCATTCAGGGTTCCTGACTTCCCACAACAAGATAAATGCACACATCACAAAGCAGTTTTTCAGAGACCATCTCTCTTGTTTTTGTCTGGAGATACTTGCTTTTTCACCCTAGGCCTCAGTGTGCTACCAAATGGCCCTTCACGGTTTCTACAAAAACAGCGTTTCCAAACTGCTGAATCCAAAGATAAGGTTAACTCTCTGACATCAATACACACATCACAAAGCAGTTTCTCAGATAATTTCTTTCTGGTATTTAACTGGAGATATTTGCTTTTTCACCAAAGACCTGAATGAGCTCCAAAATGCCCTTTATCAGATCCTACAAAAACAGTGTTTCCAAACTGCTGAATCAAAACATAGGTTTAACTGTGTGAGCTGAATGCACACATAACAAAGCTGTTTCTCTCAGCTTGTTTCTAGTTTCTAACTGGGGATATTTGCTTTTTCACCATTGGCCTCAATGAGCTCCCAAATGTTCTTTCACAGATTCTATGAAACCAGTGTTTCCAAACTTCTGAGTCAAAAGAAAGGTTTAACTCTGTGAGTTGAATGCACATATCACAATGCAGTTTCTCAGATAGCTTCTCTCAAGTTTTTATCTGAAGACATTTGCTTTTTCACCATTAGCCTCAAAGCAATCTCAAATGTCCTTTTGCAGATTCTACAAAAACAGTTTTTCCAACCTGCTGAAATAAAATAATGGTGTAACTCTGTGAGAAGAATGCACACATCACAAAGCAGTTTCTCAGATAGCTTCTTTGCTATTTTTGTGTGGAGATATTTGCTTGTTCACCTCAGGCCTCAAAGCACTCCCAAATGTCCCTTCAGGGATTCTACAAAAACAGTGTTTACACACTGCTGAACCCAAACAAAGGTTTAACACTATGAGATGAATACACATTTTGCAAAGCAATTTTAGATAACTTCTCTCTGGTTTTTAACTGAAGATATTTGCTTTTTCACCATAGGCCTGAAGTAGCTCCCAAATGTCCTTTCTCAGATTCTACAAAAACAGGGTTTCCAAACTGCTGAATCAAAACATAGGTTTAACTGTGTGAGCTGAATGCACACAAAACAAAGCTGTTTCTCTCATAGTTTTTTTCTACCTTTTATCTGGTGATATTTTGCTTTTTCACCATTGAACTCTATTAGCTCCCTAATGTCCTTTTGCTGATTCTATGAAAACAGTGTTTCCAAACTGCTTAATCAAATCAAAAGAATGGTATAATTCTGTGAGATGAATGCAAACATCACAAAGCAGTTTCTCAGATATCTTCTTTCTTGTTTTTGTTTGGATATATTCACTTTTTCACCATTGCCCTGAAAGCACTCCCAAATGTCCTTCATGGATCCTACAAAAACAGTGTTTCCAAAAAGGTGAATCAAAACATAGGTTTCACTGTGTGAGATGAATGCACACATAACAAAGATGTTTTTCTCATAGCTTCCTTCTACTTTTTATCTGGTGATATCTGCATTTTCACCATTGAACTCTATTAGCTCCCAAATGTCCTTTCACAGATTCTATGAAAACACTCTTTCAAAATGCTGGATCAAAAGAAAGCTTTAACTCTGTGAGATGAAAGCACACATCACAGATCAGTTTCTCATAGCTTATTTCTTGTTTTTGTCTGGAGATATTAACTTTTTCACCATAGGCATCAATGCCCTCCAAAATATCCCTTCACATATTCTACAAAAATTGTGTTTCCAAACTGCTGAATCCAAAGAAAGTTTTAACAATATGAGGTGAATACACATGTCACAAAGCAGTTTATCAGGTAAAATCTTTGTGGTTTTTAAGAACAGATATTTTCTTTTTCACCATAGGCCTGAATGACCTCCCAAATGTCCTTTCTCAGATTCTACAAAAACAGTGTCTCCAAACTGCTGAATCAAAAGAATGGTGTAACTATGTACGATGTATGCACACATCACAAAGCAGTTTCTCAAAGAGCTTCTTTTTAGTTTTTATCTGGGGATATTTGCTTTTTCACCATTGGCCTCAATGAGCTCTGAAATGTTCATTCACAGAATGGACAAAAACAGTGTTTCCAAACTGCTGAATGGAAACATAGGTTTAAATGTGTGAGATGAATGCACATGTCACAATGCTGTTTCTCAGATAGCTTCTTTCAAGATTTTATCTGAAGACATATGCTTTTTCACCATAAGCCTCGAAGTGCTCCCAAATGTCCTTTTGCAGATTCAATGAAAACAGTGTTTCCAAGCTGCTGAATTAAAAGAATGGTGTAACTCTGTGAGATGAATGCACACATCACAAAACAGTTTCTCAGATTACTTCTTTCTTATTTTTTTCTGTAGATATTCCCTTGTTCACCATAGGCCTCACTGCACTACAGAATGCCCTTATAGGGATTCTATAAAAACAGTGTTTCCAAACTGCAGAATCTAAAGAAAGGTTTAACTCTATGAGATGAATACACACATCACAAAGCAATTTCTCAGATAACTTCTTTCTAGTTTTCAACCAGAAATTTTTTATTCTGGTTTTGAACTTGAGATATTTGCTTTTTCACCATTGGCCTGAAGGAGCTCTCAAATGTCCTTTCTCAGATTCTACAAAAACAGTGTTTCCAAACTGCTGAATCAAAACATAGTTTTAACTGTGTGAGCTGGATGCACACATAACAAAGCTGTTTCTCAGATAGCTTATCTGAAGACTTTTGCTTTTTCACCATAATCCTCAAAGTGCTCCCAAATGTCCTTTCACAGATTCTACGAAAACAGTGTTTCCAAACTGCTGAATCAAAAACATAGTTTAATTGTGTGAGCTGAATGCACACATAACAAAGCTGCTCCTCAAATAAGCTTCTTTCTAGTTTTTATCTGGGGATAACTGCTTTTGCAACATTGTCCTCAATGAGCTCCCAAATGTTCTTTGGCAGACACTATAAAACAGTGTTTCCAAATGGTGTTACCAAACTGCTGAATTAAACATAGTTTTAATTGTATGAGCTGAATGCACACATAACAAAACTGCTTCTCAAATAATTTCTTTCTAGTTTTTATCTTGAGATAACTGCTTTCTCACCATTGTCCTCAAAGCGCTCCCAAATGTCCTTTCGCAGATTCTATGAAAACAGTGTTTCCAAACTGCTGATTCAAAAGAATGGTGAAACTCTGTGAGATGAATGCACACATCACTAAACAGTTTCTCAGATAGCTTCTTTCTTGTTTTTGTCTGGAGATATTTGCTTTTTCACCATAGGCCTCAAAGCACTACAAAATGTCCCTTCACATATTCCACAAAAACAGTGTTTCTAAACTGATGAATCCAAAGAAATGTTTAACTCTATGAGATGAATACACACATCACAAGACAGTTTCTCAGATAACTTCTTTCTGTTTTTTAACTAGAGATATTTGCTTTTTCACCATTGGCCTGAATGAGCTCCCAAATGTACTTTCTCACGTTCCACAATAACAGTGTTACCAAACTGCTTCATCAAAACATACGTTTAACTATGAGAACTGAATGCACACATAACAAAGCTGTTTCTCACATAGGTTCTTTCCAGTTTTTTTTTTCTGGGGAAATTTCCTTTTTCACTATTGGTCTCAATGAGCTCCCAAATGTTCTTTTGCAGACTCTAGAAAACAGTGTTTCCAAACTGCTGAATCAAAAGAGAGGTTTAACTCTGTGAGAAGAATGCACAAGTCACAAAGCAGATTCTCAGATAGCTTCTTTCAAGTTTTTATCTGAAGATATTTGCTTTTTCACCATAAGCCTCAAAGCGCTCCCAAATGTCCTTTCACAGATTCCATGAAAACAGTGTTTCCAAACTGGTGAATCAAAAGAATGGTGTAACACTGTGAGATAAATACACATGTCACAAAGCAGATTCTCAGATAGCTTCTTTCAAGTTTTTATCTGAAGATATTTGCTTTTTCACCATAAGCCTCAAAGCGCTCCCAAATGTCTTTTCACAGATTCTACAAAAAAAAGTTTCCAAACTGTTGAATCAAAAGAATGGTGTAACTGTGTGAGATGAATATACACATCACAAAGCACTTTGTCAGATAGCTTCTTTCAAATTTTTATCTGAAGATATTTGCTTTTTCACCATAGGCCTCAATGCACTCCCAAATGTCTTTTCACAGATTCTTCAAAAGCAGTGTTTCCAAATTGCTGAATGAAAAAAAACTTTTAACTCATTGAGATGAATGCACACCTCAGAAAGCAGTTTCTCAGATAGCTTCTTTCAAGCTTTTACCTGAAGATACCAGCTTTTACACCATAGGTCTCAATGGGCTCCCTAATACCCTTATGCAGATTCTATGAAAACAGTCTTTCCAAAGTGCTGAATCAAAACAAAGGTTTAACTCCATGAGATGAGGGCACACATCACAAAGTAGTTTCTCAGATGGCTTCTTTTAAGTTTTTATCTGGAAATATTTGTTTTTTCACCATTGGCCTCAATGAACTTCCAAATGTCCCTTTCCAGATACCAAAAACAGTGTTTTCAAACTGCTGATTCAAAAGAATGGTTTAACTCTGTGAGATGAGTGAACACACCACAAAGGAGTTTCTCAGATAGCTTCTTTCAGGTTTTTATCTGAAGATATTGGCTTTTTCACAATAGGCATCAATGCGCTCCCAAATGTCTTTTGCAGATTGTACAAAAGTGTGTTTCCAAACTGCTGAATCAAAAGAAAGGTTTAACTCTATGAGACAAATACCTGCATCACAAACCAGTTTCTCAGATAGCTTCTTGCTAGTTTTCATCTGGGGATATTTGCTTTTTCACCATAGGCCTCAATGCTGTCCTAAATGTCCTTTCTAGGATTTTACATAAAGAGTGTTTCCAAACTGTTGAATCAAAAGAAAGGTTTAACTCTGTGACATAAATCCCTGAATCACAAGCAGTCTCTTAGATAGATTCTTTCTAGTTTTTACATGGAAATATTCACTTTTTCACCACTGGACTCACTGCACTCCCAAATGTCCTCTCTCAGATTCTACAAAAGAAGTGTTAACAAACTGCTGAATCAAAAGAAAGGTTTAGCTATGTGAGATGAATATATACATCATAAAGCAGTTTCTCAGATAGCGTCTTCCTAGTTTTCATCTGTGGATATTCGCCTTTTCACCATAGGCCTCAATGTGCTCCCAAATGTCCTTCATCAGAGTCTATGAAAACAATATTTCCAAACTGCTGAATCAAAAGAAAGATTTAGCTCTGTGAAATGAATGCACACATCACAAAGCCGTTTCTCAGATAGCTTATTTCAAAGTGTTATCTGAAAATATTTGCTTTTTCACCATAGGCCTCAAAGTGCTTTCAAATGTCCTTTGGCAGATAATATAAAAACTGTCTTTCCAAGCTACTGAATGAAAAGTAAGATTTAAGCCTGTGAGTTGAATGAACAAATCACACAGTAGTTTCTCAGATGGCTTCTTTCTAGTTTTTTTATGGAAATATTCACTTTTTCACCACAGGCCTCAATTCGCTCCCCAACGTCCCTTTGCAGATTCTGCAGAAACAGTGTTTCCAAAGTGCTGAATGAAAACAAAGATTTAACTCTGTCAAATGAATGCACATATCACAAAGCACTTTTTCGTATAGCTTCTTTCTAGCTTTTATCTGAAAATATTTGCTTTATCACCATAGTCCTCAATGCATTCCCAAATGTCTTTTCCTAGATTCTACAAAAACAGTGTTTCCATCCTGCTGAATCAAAAGATAGGTTTAACTCTGTAAGATGAATGCAGACACCACAAAGCAGTTTCTCAGATACATTGTTTCAAACTTTTATGTGAAGATATTTGCTTTTTCACCATAGGACCCAAGGTGCTCCCTAATGTTCTTACGCAGATTCTACAAAAACAGTCTTTCCAAACTGCTGAATCAAAAGAAAGGTTTAACTCTGAGAGATGAATGAATACATCACAAAGCAGTTTCTCAGAGAGCTTCTTTCAAGTTTTTATCTGACGATATTAGCTTTTTCACTAAAGGTGTCAATGTGCTCGCAGTGTCCTTTGCAGGTTGTACAAAAATTGTGTTTCCAAACTAGTGAATAAAGAGAAAGGTTTAAGTCTCTGAGATAAATGCACACATCACAAAGCAGTGTCTGAGATAGCTTCTTGCTAATTTTCATCTGGAGATATTCACTTTTTCAACTTAGGCTTCAATGCTGTCCCAAATGTCCTTTCTAGGATTCTACATAAAGAGTGTTTCCAAAGTGCTGAATCACAAGAAAGGTTTAACTCTGTGAGATGAATGTACACATCACAAAGCAGTTTCTCAGATATCTTCTTTCTGCTTTTCATATGGAAATATGTGCCTTTTCACCATAGGCTTCAATGCATTCCCAAATGTCCTATCTCAGATTCTACAGAAAAAGTTTCCAAAGTGGTGAATCAAAAGAAACGTTTAATTCTGTGAGATGAATGCAAACTTCATTAAGAAGTTTCTCAGGTAGATTCTTTCAAGTTTTTCTCTGAGGATATTTGCTTTTTCACCATAGGCCTCAATGCGCTCCCTAATGTCCTTAACACAGATTCCACAAAAGCAATGTTTCCAAAGTGCTGAATCGAAACAAATGTTACCTCCATGAGATGAATGCAAACATCACAAATCAGTTTCTCAGACTGCTTCTTCTAGTTTTTCTCTGGAAATATTCACTTTTTCACCATAGGCCACAATGCGCTCCCAAATATCCTTTAGCAGATTCAAAAAAAAAAAAAAGTTTCCAAATCCTGAAAGAAAAGAAAGGTTTAACACTGTGAGACGAATGCACACATCACAAAGCAGTTTCTCTGATAGCTTCTTTCTAGTTTTTCTCAAAATATTTGCTTTTTCACTACTGGCCTCAATGAACTCCCGCATGTCCTTTTGCAGATTCTGCAAAAACAGTGTTTCCAAACAGCTGAAGCAAAAGAAAGGATAACTCTGTGAGATGAATGCACACAGCATGAAGCAGTTTCTCAGAAAGCTTCTTTCAAATTTTTATCTGAAGATATTTGCTTTTTCACCATAGGCCTTAAGGCACTCCCAAAAGTCTTTTTGCAGATTCTTCAAAAGCAGTGTTTCCAAACTGCTTAATCAAAACATAGGTTTAATTCTGTGAGATGAATGCAAACAACACAAAGCAGTTTCTCAGATAGCTTCTTTCCAGTTTTTATCGGGAAATATTCACTTTTTCACCATTGGCCTCAATGCGCTCCCTAATATCCCTTCGCAGATACAGCAAAAACAGTGTTTCCAAACTGCTGAATGAAAACAAAGGTTCAACTCTATGAGATGAATGAACACATCCCACAACAGTTTCTCAGATAGCTTATTTCTACTCTTCATCTGGGGATATTTGCTTTTTCACCATGGGCCTTGATGCTGTCCCAAATGTCCTTTCTAGGATTTTACATAAACAGTGTTTCCAAACTGCCGAATAAAACGATAGGTTTAACTCTGTGAGATGAATGCAAACATCACAAAGCAGTTTCTCAGATAGCTTCTTTCTAGTTTTTATATGGAAATATTCACTTTTTCACCATAGGTCGCAATGCTCTCCCAAATGTCCTTTCACAGATTTTACAAAAAAAGTGTATCCAAATTGCTGAATCAAAAGAAAGGTTTATCTCTGTGAGATGAATGCAAGCAACCCAAAGCAGTTTCTCAGACAACTTCTTTGAAGTGTTTATCTGAAGATATTTTCTTTTTCACCACAGGACTCAAACCGCTCCCTAATGTCCTTATGCAGATTCTACAAAAACAGTGTTTCCAAAGTACTGAATCAAAACAAAGGTTTAACTCTGTGAGATGAATGCACACATTACAAAGCAGTTTCTCTGATAGTTTCTTCATACTCTTTATCTGTAAATTATCCCTTTTTCACCGTTGACCTCAATGAGCTCCCAAGTGTCCCTTTGCAGATTCTGCAAAAACAGTGTTTCCAAACTATTGAATCAAAAAATAGGTTTAACTCTGTGAGATAAATGCACACATTACAAAGCAGTTTCTCAGATAGCTTCTTTCTAGTTTTAATCTGGGGATATTCAGTTTTACACTTTAGGCCTCAATGTGCTCCCAAATGTCCTTTGGCTGATTCTAAAAAGCAGTGCTTCCAACCTGCTGAATCAAAAGAAAGATTTACCTCTGTTAGATGAATGCACACATCACAAAGCAGTTTCTCAGATAGCTTCTTTCTAGTTTTTATCTGGAAATATTCACTTTTTTGCCATTGGCCTCAATGAGCTCCCAAATGTCCCTTTGCAGATACAGCAAAAACAGTGTTTGCAAACTGCTGAATCAAAAGAAAGGTTTAACTCTGTGAGATGAATGAACACATCACAAAGCAGTTTCTCAGATAGCTTTTTTTAAGTTTTTATCTGAAGATTTTTCCTTTTTCTCCATAGGCCTCAATGTGCTCCCAAATGTCCTTTTGCAGATTTTGCAAAAATGGTGTTTTCAAACTGCTGAATCAAAAGAAAGGTTTAACTTTGAGACTAATCCACAGAGCACAAAGCAGTTTCTCAGATAGCCTCTTTCAAATTTTTACCTGAAGATATTTGCTTTTTCACCATGGGGCTCAAAACACTACAAAATTTTTTTGCAGGTTCTACAAAAACAGTTTGTTTCCAAACTACTGAATCAAAAGAAAAGTTTAACTCTGTGAGATGAATGCACACTTCACAAAGCAGTTTCTCAGATAGCTAGTTTCAGGCTTTTATCTTAAGATATTTTATTTTTCACCATAGGTCTCAAGGCGCCAACTAATGTCCTTACACAGATCCTACAAAAACAGTGTTTCCAAAATGCTTAGCCAAAACAAATGTTTAACTCCATGAGATGAATGCATACATCACATATCAGTTTCTCAGACAGCTTCTTTCTAGTTTTTATCTGGAAATATTCACTTTTTCACCATTGGTCTCAATGACCTCCCAAATGTCACATCACAAATTCTGCAAAAACAGTGTTTCAAAACTGCTGAATTAAAAGACAGTTTTAACTCTGTCAACTGAGTGAACACATCACTCAGTTCCTCAGATAGATTCTTTCAAATTTTTATCAGAAAATTTATGCTTTTTGCCAAAGGCCTCAGTGTACTCTCAAATGTTCTTTCGCAGATTATACAAAAACTGTGTTTCTAAACTGCTGGATCAAAACATAGATTTAACTCTGTGAGCTGAATGCACACATAACAAAGCTGTTTCTCACATACATTCTTTCTAGTTTTTAATCTGGGAATACTCACTTTTTCAACATTTGCCTCAATTAGCTCCCAAATGTCCTTTTGCATTTTCATCAAAAACAGTGTTTTCAAACTGCTGAATCAAAAGAAAGTTTTAACACTGGGAGATGAAACCACACATCACAAAGCTGTTTCTCAGGTAGCCTCCTTCAAGTTTTTGTCTGAAGATATTTTCTGTTTCACCATAAGCCTCAATGCACTCCCTAATGTCCTTATGCAGATTCTACAAAGACAGTGTTTCCAAACTGCTGAATCAAAATAAATGTCCTAATCTATTAGGTGAATGCACACATCACAAAGCAGTTTCTCTTATAGTTTCTTCCTAGTTTGCATCTGGAGATATTTGATTTTTCACCATAGCTCTCAATGCACTCCCAAATGTCCTTTCTAGGATTGTACAAAAACAGTGTTTCCAAAGTGCTGAATCAAAACAAAGATTTTACTCTGTAAGATGAACACACACTTCACAAAGCAGTTTCACAGATAGCTTTCTTTTAGTTTTTATATGGAAATATTTGTTTTTTCACCATAGACTTTCATGTGCCACCAAATGAAAGCACACATCACAAAGCAGTTTCTCAGATAGCTTCTTTCCAGTTTTCAACTGGAGATATTCACTTTTTTACCACAGCCTTCAATGAACTCCCAACTGCCTCTTAGCAGATTCTACAAAAACAAAGTTTCCAAACTGCTGCATCAAAACATGGATTTTTTTAGTATTATACTTTAAGTTCTAGGGTACATGTGCACAACATGCAGGTTTGTTACATATGTATACATGTGCCATGTTGATGTGCTGCACCCATTAACTCATCATTTACATTAGGTATATCTCCTAATGCTATACCCTCCCCCTTCCCACACCCCACAACAGGTCCTGGTGTGTGATTTTCCTCTTCCTCTATAGAAGCGTTCTTATGGTTCAATTCCCACCTATGAGTGAGAACATGCGGTGTTTGGTTTTTTTGTCCTTGGAATAATTTGCTGAGAATGATGGTTTCCAGCTTCATCCATGTCCCTACAAAGGACATGAACTCATCCTTTTTTATGGCTGCATAGTATTCCATGGTGTATATGTGCCATATTTTCTTAATCCAGTCTACCATTGTGGACATTTGGGTTGGTTCCAAATCTTTGCTATTGTGAATAGTGCCACAATAAACATACATGGGTTTGTGTGTTTATAGCAGGATGGTTTATAATCCTTTGGGTATATATCCAGTAATGGGATGGCTGTGTCAAATGGTATTTCTGGTCCTAGATCTTGAGGAATCACCACACTGTCTTCCACAGTGGTTGAACTTTGTTTACAGTCCCACCAACAGTGTAAAAGTGTTCCTATTTCTCCACATCCTCTCCAGCATCTGTTGTTTCCTGACTTGTTAATGATCTCCATTCTAACTGGTGTGAGATGGTATCTCATTGTGGTTTTGATTTGCATTTCTCTGATGGCCAGTGATGATGAGCATTTTTTCATGTGTCTCTTGTCTGCATAAGTGTCTTCTTTTGAGAAGTGTCTTTTCCTATTGTTCACCCACTTTTTGATGGGGTTGTCTGTTTTTTTTTTCTTGTAAATTTGTTTGAGTTCTTTGTAGACTCTGGATATTAGCCCTTTGTCAGAGGAGTAGATTGTAAAATTTTTTTCCCTTTCTGTAGGTTGCCTGTTCACTCTGATGCTAGTTTATTTTGCTGTGCAGAAGCTATTCAGTTTAATTAGATCCCAATTTTGGCTTTTGTTGTCAATTTTGGCTTTTCTTGCCATTGGTTTTGGTGTTTTAGATATGAAGTCATTGCCCATGACTATGTCCTGAATGGTGTTGCCTAGGTTTTCTTCTAGGGTTTTTATGGTTTTAGGTCTAAAATGTAAGTCTTTAATCCATCTTGAATTAATTTTTGCATAAGGTGTAAGGAAGGGATCCAGTTTCAGCTTTCTACATATCGCTAGCCAGTTTTCCCAGCACCATTTATTAAATAGGGAATCCTTTCCCCATTTCTTGTTTTTTGTCAGGTTTGTCAAAGATCAGATGGTTGTAGATGTGTGACATTATTTCTGAGGGCTCTCTTCTGTTGCATTGGTCTATATCTCTGTTTTGGTACCACTACCATGCTGTTTTAGTTACTGTAGACTTGTAGTATAGTTTGAAGTCAGGTAGCGTGCTGCCTCCAGCTTTGTTCTTTTGGCTAGGACTGACTTGGCAATGCAGCCTCTTTTTTGGTTCCATATGAACTTTAAAGTAGTTTTTTCCAATTCTGTGAAGAAAGTCACTGGTAGCTTGATGAGGATGGTATTGAATCTATAAACTACCTTAGGCAGTATGGCCATTTTCCCAATATTGATTCTTCCTGCCCATGAGCATGGAATGTGCTTCCACTTATTTGTGTCCTCTTCTATTTCATTGAGTAGTGGTTTGCAGTTCTCATTGAAGAACTCCTTCACATCCCTTGTAAATTGGATTCCTAGGTATTTTATTCTCTTTGAAGCAATTGTGAATAGGAGTCCACTCATGATTTAGCTATCTGTTTGTCTATTATTGGTGTATAATAATGCTTGTGATTTTTGCACATTGATTTTGCATCCAGAGACTTTGCTGAAGTTGCTTATCAGCTTAAGGAGATTTTGGGCTGAGATGATGGGGTTTTCTAGATATACAATCATGTCATCTGCAAACAGGGACAATTTGGCTTCCTCTTTTTCTTATTGAATACCCTTTATTTCCTTCACCTGCCTGATTGCCCTGGCCAGAACTTCCAACACTATGTTGAATAGGAGTAGTGAGAGAAGGCATCCTTGTCTTGTGCCAGTTTTCAAAAGGAATAGTTCCAGTTTTTTCCCATTCAGTATGATATTGGCTGTGGGTTTGTCATGAGTAGCTCTTATTATTTTGAGATATGTCCCATCAATTCCTAATTTATAGAGAGTTTTTAGCATGAAGTGTTGTAGAATTTTGTCAAAGGTCTTTTCTGCATCTATTGAGATAATCATGTGGTTTTTGTCTTTGATTTTGTTTATATGATGGATTACGTTTATTGATTTGCATATGTTGAAACAGCCTCACATCCCAGGGATGAAGCCCACTTGATCACGGTGGATAAGCTTTTTGATGCACTGCTGAATTTGGTTTGCCAGTATTTTACTGAGGACTTTTGCATCGATGTTCACCAGGGATATTGGTCTAAAATTCTCTTTTATTGTTGTGTCTCTGCCAGGCTTTGGTATCAGGATGATGCTGGTCTCATAAAATGAGTTAGGGAGGGTTCCCTCTTTTAATATTGATTGGAATATTTTCAGAAGGAATGGTACCAGCTCCTCCTTGTACCTCTGGTAGAATTCGGCTGTGAATCCATCTGGTCCTGGCCTTTTTTTAGTTGGCAGGCTCTTAATTACTGCCTCAATTTCAAAGCTTCTTATTGGTCTATTCAGGGATTCAACTTCTTCCTGGTTTAGTCTTGGGAGGTTGTATGTGTCGAGGAATTTGTCAATTTCTTCTAGATTTTCTAGTTTATTTGCATTGAGGTGTTTATAGTATTCTCTGGTGATAGTTTGTATTTCTGTAAGGTCAGTGGTGATATCCCCTTTATCATTTTTTATTACATCTATTTTATTCTTCTCTCTTTTCTTCTTTATTACTCTTGCTAGTGGTCTGTAAGTTTTGTTGATCTTTTCAAAAAACAAGCTCCTGGATTCATTGATTTTTGAAGGTTTTTTTGTGTCTCTATCTCCTTCAGTTCTGCTCTGATCTTAGTTATTTCTTGCTTTCTGCTAGCTTTTGAATGTGTTTGCTCTTGCTTCTCTAGTTCTTTTAATTGTGATGTTAGGGTGTCCATTTATTATCTTTCCTGCTTTCTCTTGTGGGCATTTAGTGCTATACATTTCCCTCTACACACTGCTTTAAATGTGTTCCCGATATTCTGGTATATTGTGTCTTTGTTCTCATTGGTTTCAAAGAACATCTTTATTTTTGCCTTCATTTTGTTATGTGCCTAGTAGTCATTCAGGAGCAGGTTTTTCAGTTTCCATGTAGTTGAGCAGTTTTGGGTGAGTTTCTTGACCCTGAGTTCTAGTTTGATTGCACTGTGGTCTGAGAGACAGTTTGTTATAATTTCTGTTGTTTTACATTTGCTGAGGAGTGCTTTAGTTCCCACTATGTGGTCAATGAGCTCCCAAATGTCCTTTTGCAGATACTTTAAAAGCAGTGTTTCCAAACTGCCAAACCAAAAGAAAGGTTTAACACTGTGAGATGAATGCACATGTAACAAAGCAGTTTCTCAAATAGCTTCTGTCAAGTTTTTATCTGAAGATATTTGCTTTTCCACCATAAGCCTCAAAGCATTCCCCAATATCCTTTCGCATATTCTACGAAGACAGTGTTTCCAATCTGCTGAATCAAAAGAAGGATTTACCTCTGTGAGATGAATGCACACATCACCAAGCAGTTTCTCAGACAGCTTCCTTCTTGTTTTTCTCTGGAGATAGTCGCTTTTTCATCATTGGCCTCAACGTGTTACCAAATGTCGTTTTGCACATTCCATAAAAATGGCATTTCCAAGCTTCCTAATCCAAAGAAAGGTTTATCTCTAAGAGATGACTCTGCACATCACAAAGCAGTTTCTCAGATTGCATCTTTCTAGTTTTTAACTAGAGATATTTGCTTTTTCACCATAAACCTCAATGTGCTTCAAATGTCTTTTAGCAGATTCTACAAAAACAGATTTTCCAATGTGCTGAATAAAAACACAGATTTATCTGTGATAGCTCAATGCAAACATAACAAATCAGTTCTCACATCACTTCTTTCTAGTTTATATCTGGGGATATTGTTTTTTTCACCATTGGCCTCAATGAGCTCCCAAATGTCTTTTTGTAGTTTCTACAAATACAGAGTTTCCAAAACGCTGAATCAAAACATAGGTGTAACTCAGTTAAATGAATGCACTCATAACAAAGCAGTTTCTTACATAGCATCTCTAGTTTTTATCTGGGGATATTGGCTTTTTCACCTTTGGCCTCAATGAGTTGCCAAATGTCCTTTCACCTATTGCACAAAAACAGTGTTTCCAAACTGCTGAATCAAAAGACAGGCTTAGCTCTGTGAGACGACTGAACACATCACAAAGGAGTTTTTCACTGAGCTTGTCTTTAGTTTCTTTCTGGAGATATTCTCTTATTCACCATAGGCCTCAATGAGCTCCCAAATGTCTCTTACCAGATTCTACAAAAACGGTTTCCAAACCACTGAACCAAAAGACATGTTTAAATCTGTGAGATGAATGAAAACATCACAAAGCAGTTTCTCAGATAGCTTCTTTCTAGCTTTTAAGTTGAGATATTAACATTTTCACCATAGGCCTGAATGAGCTCCCAAATATCCTTTCTCAGATTCTACAAGAACAGTGTTTCCAACTGCTGAATCAAAACATAGATTTAAAGGTGTGAGCCGAATGCATAAATAACAAAGCTGTTTCTCACACAACTTCTTTCTAGTTTTTATCTGGGCATATTTACTTTTTCAACAATGGCCTCAATTAGCTCCCAACTGTTCTTTTGCAGATTCTACAAAAACAGTGTTTCCAAACTGCTGAATCAAAACATAGGTTTAACTCTGTGAGATGAATTCACACATCACAAAGCAGTTTTACAGACAGTTTCTTTCTTCTTTTTATCTGGAGATATTCCCTTCATCACCTTTGGCCTCAATGAGCTCCCAAATGTCCTTTTTCAGATTCTTCAAAAACAGTGTTTCCAGAAAGCTGAATGAAAACATATTTTTAACACTGTGAGTAGAATACACACATAATGAGCAGTTTATCAGATAGCTTCCTTCCAGTTTTTATCTGGGGATATTCACTTTTTCACCATTGACCTGAATGACCTAGGAAATATCTCTCAGTGGATTCTACAAAAACAATGTTTCCAAACTGCTAAATCAAAAGATAGGTATTGGGGAACCCACCCACAATATTTCAATGTAGGTTCTTTCTATTTGCCATAAGTGTTGGCCAGCTGAGAAATAAAGAGAAAGGATACAATGAGAGGAATTTTACAGCTGGGTTGCCGAGGGTGACAGCACATAATGGAAGGACTGTGATACCCACCTGAACCTCAAACCAGCAAGTTTTTTATTAAGGGTTTCAAAAGGGGAGGGGGTGTAAGAACAGGGAGTAGGTCCCATGCTTCAAAGGGCAAAAAGTAGAACAAAGATCACATGCTTCTGAATAAACAGGACAAAGGGCAAAAGTAGAACTCCTGATAATGGTCTATGTTCAGCAGTGTATGTATAGTCTTCATAAACATCTTAAACAACAGAAAACAGGGTTTGAGAGCAGAGAACCAGTCTGACCACAAATTTACCAGGGCAGAGTTTTTCCCCACCCTAATAAGCCTGAGGGCACTACAGGATATCAGGGCATATCTCAGTCCTTATCTCAAGCCCATAGGAGAGACATTCCCAGAGCAGCCGTTTATAGACCTCCCCCCAGGAATGCATTCCTTTCTGAGTATGAATATTAATATTCTTTGCTACGAAAAGAATTTAGCAATATCTTCCCTACTTGGATGTCCATTTATAGGCTCTCTGCAGTAAGAAAAATATGGCTCTTTTGCCCAACCGTGCAGGCAGTCAGAGCTTATGGTTGTCTTCCCTTGTTTCCTAAAAATAGCTGTTATTTTGTTCTTTTACAAGGTGCACTGATTTCATATTGTTCAATCACACGTTTTACAATCAATTTGTACAGTTAACACAATTATCACAGTGGTCCTGATGTGGCATACATACTCAGCTAATGAACATAACAGGATTAAGACATTAGAATAAAGACAGGCAAAAGAAAGTATAAAAGTATTATTTGGGAACTGATAAATGTCCATATTAAAAATGAGATCTTCAAAATTTATATCCCACAGCAACAGCTTCAGCTAGTCTTTCCTTTCTGGGTCCCTGAATTCCTGCAACAGATAGGATTAACTCTGTCAGATGAATCTGCACATCACAAAACACAGTTTCACAGAGAGCTTCTCTCTAATATTTATCTGGAGATATTAGCTTCTTTATCATAGGCCTCAATGAGCTCCAAAATGTCCTTTCACAGATACTTCAAAAACAGTGTTTCCAAACTGCTGAATCAAAAGAAAGATGTAAGTCAGTGAGATGAATGCACACATCACAAAGCAGTTCCTCAGATAGCTTCCTTCTAGTTTTGCTCTGGGGATATTCGCTTTTTCACCATTGACTTCAATGAGCTCCCAACTGTCCTTTTGCAAATTTAACAGAAACAGTGTTTCCAAACTGCCGAATGAAAAGATATTTTTAACCCTGTGAGATGAATCCACACATCACAAATTAGTTTCACAGACAGCTTCTTTCTTGTTTTTTTTCTGTGGATATTTCCTTTTTCACCATTGACCTCAATTAGCTCCCAAATGTTCTTTTGCAGATTCTTCAAAAACAGTGTTTCCAAACTGCTGAATCAAAAGAAAGGTTTAACTCTGTTAGGTGAGTGAACACATCAAAAGGCAGTTTCTCAGATAGTCTCGTCTCTTTGAAGTTTTTATCTGAAGATATTAGCTTTTTCACAATAGGCCTCAATGCGTTCCTTAATGTCATTACACAGATTCTACAAAAATAGTGTTTCCAAACTGATGAATCAAAAGAAGTTTTAACTCTGTGAGATGAATGAATACATCACAAAGCAGTTTCTCAGATAGCTTCTTTCAAGGTTTTATCTGAAGATATTAGCTTTTTCACCAAAAGAGTCAATGTGCTCCCAAATGTCCTTTATATATTATACAAAAACAGTGTTTCCAAACTGCTGAATTAAAAGAAAGATTTAACTCTGTGAGATAAATCCACACATCACAAAACAGTTTCTCAGATAGCTTCTTGCTAGTTTTCATCTGGGGATATTCGCTTTTTCACCATAGGCCTCAGTGCTTTCTCAAATGTCCTTTCTAGGATTCCACTTAAACAGTGTTTCCAAACTACTGAATCAAAAGAAAGGTTTAACTCTGTGAGATGAATGCACACATCATGAAGCAGTTTTTCAGGTAGCTTCTTTATGGTTTTCATGTGGAAATACTCACTTTTTCACCTTAGGCCTCAATGCACTCCCAAATATTCTCTTGCAGATTCTACAAAAAAAAAGTGTTTTCAAACTGCTGAATCAAAAGAAACGTTTAACTCTGTGAGATGAATGCAAACTTCACAAAGAAGTTTCTCAGATAGCTTCTTTCAAGTTTCTCTCTGAAGATATTAGCTTTTTCACCATAGGACTAAATGTGTTCCCTAATGTCCTCATGCAGATTCTACAAAAACAGTGTTTCCAAAGTGCTGAATCAAAACAAAAGTTACCTCCATGAGATGAATGAAAACATCACAAAGCCATTTCTCAGATTGCTTCTTTCTAGTTTTTATCTGGAAGTATTTGCTTTTTCACCGAAGGCCTCAATGAGCTCCCAAATGTCCCTTCACAGATTCTGCAAAAACATTGTTTCCAAACTGCCGAAACAAAAGGAAAGTTTAACTCTGTGAGATGAATGAGCACATCACAAAGCAGCTTCTCAGATAGCTTCTTTCAAAGTTTTATCTGAAAATATTGGCTTTTTCACAAAAGGCCTCAATGGGCTTTCAAACGTCCTTTCATAGATTATACAAAAACTTTCTTTCCAAACTGCTGAATGAAAGGTAAGGTTTAACTCTGTGAGTTGAATGAACACATCACAGAGTAGTTTCTCGCATAGCTTCTTTCTAGTTTTTATATGGAAATGTTTGCTTTTTCACCATAGGCCTCAATGTTCTCCCAAATGTCCTTTCTGAAACAATGTTTCCAAACAGCTGAATCAAAAGAAGTGTTTATGAGATGAATGCACACATCACAAAGCATTTTATCTGATAGCTTCTTTCTAGTTTTTATCTAGAAATATTCACTTTTTCACCATTGACCTCAATGGGTTCCCATATCGCCCTTCACAGACTCTGCAAAAACAGTGTTTCCAAACTGCTGAATCAAAAGAAAGGATAACACTGTGAGATGAATGCACACAGCACAAAGCAGCTTCTCAGAAGTTTCTTTCAAATTTTTATCTGAATACGTTTGCTTTTACACCATAGGCCTAAATACACTCCCAAAAGACTTTTCACAGATACGTCAAAAGCAGTTTTTCCAAACTTCTGAATCAAAAAATATTTTTAACTCTGTGAGATGAATGCTCACATCACAAAGTAGTTTCTCAGATAGCTTCTTTCAAGCTTTTATCTGAAGATATTTTTTTCACAATAGGACTAAATGTGGTCCCTAATGTCCTTAAGCAAATTCTACAAAATCTGTGTTTCCATGGTGCTGAATCAAAACAAAAGTTTAATTCCATGAGATGAATGTCCACATGACAAAGCAGTTTCTCAGATAGCATCTTTCTAAGTTTTTATCTGGAAATATTCACTTTTTCACCATTGCCATCAATGAGATCTGAAATATCCCTTTTCATATTCTGCAGAAACAGTGTTTCCAAACTGCTAAATCAAAAGAATGGTTGAACTCTGTGATATGAATGCACACATCACGAAGTAGTTTCTCAGATACCTTCTTTCTAATTTTTAATCTGAATATATTTGCTTTTTCACCATAGGCCTCAAGCCACTTTCAAATGTCCATTCACAGATTATACAATAACTGTGTTTCCAAACGGCTGAATTAAAAGAAAGATATAACTCTGTGAGATGAATGCACACATCACAAAGCAATTTCTTAAATAGCTTTTTCTAGTTTTCATCCACAAACATTTCGTTTTTCACCATAGGCCTCAATGTGTTCCGAAATGTCTTTTCTAGAATTGTACAAAAACAGTATTTCCAAACTACTGTATCAAAAGAGAGGTTTAATGCTGTGAGATGAATGCACACATCACAAAGCAGTTTTACGGATAGCTTTTTTCTAGTTTTTATATGGAAATATTCACTTTTTCACCTTAGGCCTCAATGTGCTCCCAAATGTCCTTTTGCAGATTATGCCAAAACATGGTTTCCAAACTGCTGAATCAAAAGAAAGTTTCAACTCTGTGACATGAATGCACACATCACAAAGCAGTTTTTCTGATGGTTTCTTTCAAGTTTTTATCTGAATTTATTTTCTTTTTCACCATAGGCCTCAATGTGCTCCAAAATATCCTTTCACAGGTTCTACAAAAATAATGTTTCCAAACTGCTGAATCTAAGCAAAGATTTAATTCTGTGAGATGAAACCACACAACACAAAGCAATTTCTCAGATAGCTCCTTTCAAGTTTTTATCTGAAGACATTTACTATTTCACCATAGGAATCAATATGCACCAAAATGTCCTTTTGATGATTGTACAAAAACTGTGTTTCCAGTCTGCTGAATCAACATAAAGCTTTAACTCTGTGAGATGAATCCACACATCACAAAGCACTTTATCAGAAAGCTTCCTTCTAGTTTTTACCTGAAGATATTTTCTTTTTCACCATATGCCTCAATATACTCCCAAATGTCAATTCACAGATTTTACAAAAACAATTGTTCCAAACTTCTGACTCAAAAGTAAGGTTAAACTCTGTGAGATGAACACACACATCACATAGCAGCTTCTCAGATAGCTTCTTTCAAGCTTTTATCTGTAGATATATGCTTTTTCACCATAGGCCTCCATAAGCTATCTTATGTCCTTATGCAGATTCTACAAAACAGTGCTTCCAAAATGTTGAATGAAAACAAATGTTTAACTCCGTGGGAGAAAGCACACATCAGAAAGCATTTTCTCAGATACCTTCTTTCTACTTTTTATCTGGAAATATTCACTTTTTCACTGTTAGCTTCAATGTGCTTCATAATGTCCTTTCACAGATCTTGCAAAAACAGTGTTTCAAAACTGCCGAATCAAAAGAAAGGTTTACCTCTGTGAGACAAATGCACACATCACAAAGCAGTTTCTCAGATAGCTTCTTTCAAGTTTTTATCTGAAGATATTTGGTTTTTCACCATAGTCTCAATGCACTCCTAAATGTCCTTTCACAGATTCTCCAAAAACAGTGTTTCCAAATTGCTGAATCAACAGAAAGGTTTAACTCTGTGACATGAATGCACACATCACATGGCAGTTCTCAGATTGCTTCTTACCAGCTATTATCTCAAGATATTTGCTTTTTCACCATAGGCCTCAATGCACTCCCCAATATCATTATGCAGATACTACAAAAGCAGTGTTTCCAAAGTGCTGAATCAAAGCAAACATGTAACTCTGTGAGATGAATGCACACATGACAAGGAATTTTCTCAGATAGCTTCTTTCTAGATTTTATCATGAAAAATTTGCTTTTTTCACCATTGGCCGCATTGAGTTCCCAAATGTCTCTTTGCAGATTCTGCAAAATTAGTGTTTCCAAACTGTTAAATCAAAAGAAGGGTTTAACTCTGTGAGATGAATGCACACATCCCAAAGCAGTTTCTCAGATAGCTTCTTTCTAGTTTTCATCTGGGGTTGTTCCATTTTTCACCATAGGCCTCAATGTGCTCCGTAATGTTCTTTCTTAGATTGTACAAAAACAGGGTTTCCAATCTGCTGAATCAAAAGAAAGGTTTAACTCTGTAAGATGAATGCACACATCTCAAAGCAATTTCTCAGATAGCTTCTTTCCAGCTTTTATCTGAAGATATTGGCTTTGTATCTGAAGAAACTGTAGAATCAAAAGAAATTTTTAACTCTGTGAGATGAATGTACCCATCACAAAACAGTTTCTGAGATAACTTCTTTTAAGGTTTTATCTGAAGATATTTGCTTTTAGAGCATAGGCCTCAATGCACTCCCAAATGTCCTTTCACAAATTATACAAATACTGTATTTCCAAACTGACGAATGAAAGGTAAGGTTTGACTCTATGAGGTAAATCTACAGGTCACAAAGCAGTTTCTCAGATAGCTTCTTCCTAATTTCCTTGTGGGGATATTAATTTTTTCACCATAGACCTCAATGCAATCCCAAATGTCCTGTCTAGGGTTGTACAAAAATAGTGTTTTTTTGTACACACATTAGGAAGCAGTTTCTCATATAGCTTCTTTCTGGTTTTCATCTGGGGATATTCACTTTTTCACCATAGGCCTCAAAGCACTCCCAAATGTACTTTCACAGATTCTACAAAAACAGTGGTTCCAAACTGTTGAATCAAAACAAAGGTTTAACTTTATAAGACAAATGCACACATCACACAATAGTTTCTGAGATAACTTCTCTCAAGCTTTTATCTGAAGATATTTGCTCTTTCACCTTAGGCCTCAATGCACTCCCTAATGTCCTTATGCAGATTCTACAAAAACAGTATTTCCAAAGTGCTGAATCAAAATAAAAGTTTAACTCCATGGGGTGAATGCACACATCACAAAGCAGTATCTCAGATAGCTTCTTTCTAATTTTTATCTGGAAATATTTGCTTTTAAACTATTGGCCTCGGTGAGCTCCAAATTGTCCCTTCACATATTATGCAAAAACGATATTTCAAAACTGCTGAATCAGAAGAAAGTTTTAACACTCTGAGATGAATGAACACATCACAAAGCAGTTTCTCAGATACCTTCATTCAAGTTTTTATTTGAAGATATTTGCTTTTTCACCATACGCCTCAATGCACTCCCAAATGTCTTTTCACATATTATATAAAAATGTGTTTCCAAACTGCTGAATCAAAAGAAACGTTTAACTGTGTGAGGAGAATCCACATATCACAAAGCAGTTTCTCAGATAGGTTCTTTCTAATTTTCATCTTGGAATAATTGCTTTTTCATTATAGGCCTCAATGTACTCCCAAATGTCCTTTCTAGCATTCTACAAAAACTGTGTTTCCAAACTTCTGAGTCAAAGGAAATATTTACCTCTGCGAGATAAATGCACACTACACAAAGCAGTTTCACAGATAGCTTCTTTCAAGCTTTTTTTCTGGAAATATTTACTTTTCCACCCTAGGCCTCAATGCAATCCAAAATATCCTTTCACAGATTCTACCAAAACAGTGTTTCCAAACTGTTGAATCAAAAGAAAGGTTTAACTCTGTGAGATGAATGCATACATCACAGAGCAGCCTCTCAGATACCATTTTTCAAGCTTTTATCTGAAGATATTTGCTTTTTCATCAAGGCCTCAATGAGCTCCATAATGTACTTTCACAGATTCTACAAAAGCAGTGTTTCCAAAGTGCTGAATCAAAACAAAATTTTACTTCCATGAGATGAATGCACACATCACAAAGCTGTTTCTAAGATAGCTTCTTTCTAGATTCGTCTGGAAATATTTGCTTTTACGTCATTGGTCACAATGAGCTCCCAAATGTCAATTCACAGATTCTACAAAAACACTGTTTCCAAACTGCTGAATCAAAAGAAAGGTTTAAATCTGTGAGATTAATGCACGCATCACACAACATTTTCTCCAATAGCTTCTTTCTGGTTTTCATCTGTGGATATTTGCTTTTTCACCATAGTCCTCAATGTGCTCCCAAATGTCCTTTCTAGGATTGTACAAAAACTGTGGTTCCACTGCTGAATCAAAAGTAAGGTTTAACTCTGTGAGATTAATCCACACATCTCAAGGCAGTTTCTCAGATATCTTATTTCTTGTTTTCATCTAGGGATATTCTCTTTTTCACCATAGGCTTCAATGTGTTCCCAAATGTCCTTTCTAGGATCGTACAAAAACAGTGTTTCCAAACTGCTGAGTCAAAAGAAAGTTTTACCTCTGTGATATGAATGCACACATCACAAAGCAGTTTCACAAATAACCTCTTTCTCATTTTTATATGGAAATATTCACTTTTTCACCATAGGCCTTAAGGCGCTCCTAAACGTCCTTTTGCAGATTCCACAAAATCAGTGTTTCCAAACTGCTGAATAAAAAGAGGTTTAACTCTGTGACATGAATCCACACATCATAAAGCAGTTTCTCAGCTTCTTTATTGTTTTTATCTGGAAATTTTTGCTTTTTTGCCCAAGGCCTCAAAGCACTCCCAAATGTTCTTTCATAGATTTTACAAAAACAGGGTTTCCAAACTGATGAATCAAAAGAAAGGTTTAACTCTTTGAGATGAATGCACACTTCACAAAGCAGTTTCTCAGATAGCTTCTTTCAAGTTTTTATCTGAAGATATTTGCTTTTTCACCATAGGCCTCAGTGCACTCCTAAACGTCCTTTCACAGATTCTACAAAAAGAGTGTTTCCAAACTGCTGAAACAAAAGAAAGGTTTAACTCTGTGAGATGAATCCACACATCACAAAGCAGTTTCTCAGATATCTTCTTTCTAGTATTTATCTGAAGATATTTGGTTTTTCACCATAGGCCTCAATGCACCCCCAAATGTAATTTGCAGATTTTACAAAAACAGAGTTGCCTAAACTGATGAATGAAAAGAAAGGTTTAACTTGGTGAGATGAATGTAGACATCACAAAGCACTTTTTCATATAGCTTCTTTCAAGTTTTTGCCTGAAGATATTCAGTTTTCTATGTTAGGCCTTAATGTGCTCCCTAATGTCCTTAACGCAGATTCTACAAAAGTAGCGTTCCCAGACTGCTGAATCAAAAGAAAGGTTTAACGTTGTGAGATGAAAGCTCACATCACAAAGGGCTTTCACAGACAGCTTCTTTCTAATTTTGATCTGGAAATATTCCCTTTTTCACCATTGGCCTCAATGAGTTAGCAAATGTCAATTCACACATTCTACAAAAACAGTGTTTCTAAACTGTCAAATCAAAAGAAAAGTGTACCTCTGTAAGATTAATACACACATCACAAAGCAGTTTCACATATAGCTTCTTTCTAGTTTTTATATGGAAATATTTGCTTTTTAACCATAGGCCTTAATGCACTCCCAAATATCCTTTCACAGATTCTACAAAAAGAGTGTTTTCAAACTACTGTATCAAAAGAAAGGTTTAACTCTGTAAGATTAATCAACCCATAACAAAGCAGTCTCTCAGATAGGTTCTTTCAAGTTATTATTAAAGATTTCCTTTTTCACATGAGGACTCAACCCTTAAAAATGTCCTTATGCAGATTTTACAAAAATGGTGCTGTCAAAGTGATGAATCAAAACAAAAATTTAATTTTATGAGATGAATGTGCACATCACAATGCAGTTTCTCAAAGAGCTTCTTTCTAGTTTACATATGGAAATATTCACTTTTTCAGTATATGCCTCAATGTGCTCCTAAGTGTCCTTTCTATGATTGTACAAGAAGTTTTTCCAAACTGCTGAATAAAAAGAAAGTTTTAATTCTGTTTGATCAATGCACAAATCAGAGAGCACTTCCACAGATAACTTCTTTCTAGTTTTTATCTGGGGATATTCACTTTTTCACCATAGGCCTCAATGCGCTCCCAAACATCCTTTTACGAACTGATTTGATTTTGATTCCAAACTGCTGAATCAAAGGAAAGGTTTAACTCTTTGAGATGAGTGCATATATCACCAAGCAGTTTCTCAGATATCTTCTTTCCACTCTTTATCAGAAGATATTTGCTTTTTCACCATAGACCTCAATGAGCTACAAAATTTTTCTTTTGCAGATTCTACAAAAACAGTGTTTCCAAACTGCTGAATCAAAAGAAAAGTTTAACTCTGTGAGATGCATGCGCATATCATGAAGAAGTTTCTCAGATAGGTTCTTCCTAGTTTTTTTCTGAAGATATTTGCTTTTTCACCATAGGCCTCAATGTACTCCCTAATGTCCTTACACAGATTCTACAAAAACAGTGTTCCCAAACTGCTGAATCAAAAGAAAAGCTTATTTCTGTGAGATGAATGCATGCATCACAAAGCAGTTTCTCAGATAGCTTCTTTAAAGTTTTATCTGAAGATATTTTCTTTTTTACCATAGGCCTCAGTGTGCTCCCTAATGTCCTTAAGCTGATCCCACAAAAACCATGTTTCCAAAGCCCTGAATGCAAACCAAGGTTTAACTCTGTGAGATGAATGCTCATATCACAAAGCAGTTTCTCAGATATCTTCTTTCTTGTTTTTATAAGGAAATATTCACTTTTCACCACTGGCCTCAATGAGCTCCCAAATATCCCTTCACAGATTCTGCAAAAACAATGTTTCCAAACTGCTGAACTAAAAGAAAATTTTATCTCTATGAGATGAATACACGCATCACAGAGTAGTTTCACAAATAGCTTCTTTCTAGTTTTTATATGGAAATAATCCCTTTTTCACCATAGTCCTCAATGTGCTCCCAAATTTCCTTTCTAAGATTGTACAAAAACAGCGTTTCCAAATTGCTGAATCAAAAGAATGGTTTAACTCTGTGAGATGAATGTGCACATAACAAAGCACTTCCAAGGATAGCTTGTTTCTCTTTTTTGTCTGGGGATATTTTCTTTTTCACCGTAGGCCTCAATTGACTCCCAAATGTTCATTCACAGATTCTACAAAAACAGTGTTTCCAAACTGCTGAATCAAAAGAAAGGTTTAACTCTTTGAGATGAATCCACACATCACAAAGCAGTTTCTCAGATAGCTTCTTTCTAGGTTTTATCTGGAAATATTCACTTTATCACAATTGTCCTCAATGATCTCCCAAATATCCCTTCACAGATTCTGCAAAAACAGTTTACAAACTACTGGATCAAAAGAAAGGTTTAACTCTGTGAGTTGAATGCTCACATCACAAAGCAGTTTTTCAGATAGCTTCTTTCAAGTTTTTATATGAAGATATTTGCTTTTTCACCATAGGCCTCAATTTGCTCCCAAATTTCGTTTTGCAGATTCTACAAAACCATTGTTTCCAAACTGCTGAATGAAAAGAAACATTTAACTCTGTGAGATGAATCCACACATCACAAAGCAGTTTCTCAGATGGCTTCTTTCTAGTTTTCATCTGGGAATATTTGGTTTTTCACAATAGGCCTCAATGTGCTCCCAAATGTGCTTCTGCAGATATTACAAAAACAGTGTTTCCAAACTGCTGAATGAAAAAGAAAGGTTTAACTTTATAAGATGAATGCACACATCACAAAGGAGCTTCTCAGATGGATTGTTTCAAGTTTTTATCTTAGGATGTTTGCTTTTTCATGATAGGTCTCAACGCACTCCCAAATGTCTTTTTGAAGATTCTATAAATACAGTGTTTTCAAACTCCTGAATCAAAAGATAGGTTTAACTCTGTGACATGAATCTGAACATTATAAAGTAGTTTCACAGAGAGGTTCTTTGTAGTTTTTGTCCAAGTATATTCACTTCTTTACCATGGGCTTCAATGAGCTCCCAATGTCCCTTTGCAGATTGTATAAAAACGGTGTTTCCAAACTGCTGAATCAAAAGAAAGGTTGAACTCTGTGAGATGAGTGCATACATCACAAAGCAGTTTCTCAGATAGCTTATTTCAAGTTTTTATCTCAAGATATTTGCCTTTTCACCATAGGCCTCAATGTGCTCTGAAATGTCCTTTTGCAGATTTTACAAAAACAGGGTTTCCAAACTGCCTAATCAAAAGAAAGTTTTAACTCTTTGAGATGAATGTACACATCACAAAGCAGCTTCTCAGATAACTTCTTTCAAGTTTTTATCTGAACATATTTGCTTTTTCACCATAGGGCTCAATGCATTCCATAATGTCCTTACACAGATTCCACAAAAACTGGTTTTTTTTTCTTTTTTTTTTTTGAGATGGTGTCTCACTCTGTCACCCAGGATGGAGGGCAATGGAACAATCTCAGCTCACTGCAAAGTGTTTTCAAAGTGCTGAATCAAAATAAAGTTTTAACTCCCTGAGGTCAATGCACACATCACAAAGCAGTTTCTCAGATAGCTTCCTTTGAGTTGTTATCTGGAAATACACACGTTTTCACCTTTGGCCTCAATGAGCTCCCAAATGTGTCTTTGCAGATTCTGTAAAAACAGTGTTTCCAAACTGCTGAATCAAAAAATAGGCTTATCTCTGTGAGATGAATCCAAACATCACAATGCAGTTTTACATAGAGCTTGTTTCTAGTTTTTATCTGGGGATATTCACTTATTTAACATAGGCCACAATGAGACTCCCAAATATCCTGTCACAGAGGATATAAAAACAGTGTTTCCAAAGAGCTGAATAAAACGAAATGTTAAACAGTGTGAGATGAATCCACACATCACAAAGCAGTTTAACAGATAGTTTCTTTCTAATTTTTACCTGGGGGGATATTTGTTTTTTCACCATAGGCCTCAATGCACTCCCAAATGTTCTTTCACAGATTTTACAAAAACAGTGTTTCCAAACTGCTGAATCAAAACAAAGGCTTAACTCTGAGGGGTGAATCCACACCACACAAAACCGTTTCTCAGATAGTTCTTTCAAGTTTTTTTCTTAAGATATTTACCTTTTAACCATAGGCATCAATGCACTCCCAAATGTCTTTTAGCAGATTCTACAATAACAGTTTTTCCAAACTGCTGAATCAAAATATAGGTTTAACTCTGTGAAATGCATCCAAAATTAACAAAGCAGTTTCACAAAGAACTTCTTTCTACTTTTTATCTGGAGATATTCACTTATTTACCATAGGCTTCAATGAGTTCCCAAATGTCCCTTCACATATTCCCATAAAAATGGTGTTTCCAAACTACTGAATAAAAGGAAAGGTTTAACTCTGTGAGAAGAATCCACACATCACAAAGCAGCTTCTCAGATAGCTTCTTTCTAGTGTTTTTCTCTGGATATTCACTGTTTCATTATAGGCCTCAATGAGCTCTCCAATGTCCTTTCGCATATTCTACAAAAACAGAGTTTCCAAACTGCTGAATTGAAAGAAAGGTTAAACTCGGTGAGATAAATCCAAACATCACAAAGCAGTTTCTCATATAGGTTATTTACAGTTTTTATATGAAGATATTTGCATCTTCACCATAGTCCTCAATGAGTTCTCTAATGTCCTTATGCCGATTCTACAAAAACAGTGTTTCCAAAGTGCTGAATCAAAACAGAATTTTATCTCCATGAGATGAATGCACACATCACAAAGTAGTTTCTGAGACAGTTTCTTTCTAATTTTTTTCTGGAAATATTCACTTTCATCACTGGCCAAAATGAGATCCCTAATGTCTCTTCACAGATTCTGCAAAACATTGTTTCCAAACTGCTGAATCAAAAGAAAGGTTTAACTCTGTGAGATGAATGCACACATCACAAAGCAGTTTTTCAAATATCTTCTTTCAAGTTTGTATTTGAAGATATTTGCTTTTTCACCATATTCCTCTTAGTGCTCTTAAATGTCCTTTTGCAGATTATATGAAAACTATTTTTTGAAACTGCTGAATCAAAAGAAAGTCTGAACTCTGTAAGATGAATCCACAGATCACAAAGCTGTTTCTCATATTGCTTTCTTCTAGTTTTCATCTGGGGATATTTGCTTTTTCACCATAGGCCTCAATTCACTCCCAAATCCCCTATCTAAAATTGTGCAAATCCAGTGTTTCCAAAATGCTGAATAAAAGAAAGGTTTAACACTGTGAAGTGAATCCACACATCACAAAGCAGTTTCTCAGATAGCTTCTTTCAAGTTTTTTTCTGAAGATATTTGCTTTTTCACCATGGCCCTCAATGTGCTAATGTCCTTATGCAAATTTTACAAAAAAGGGGTTCCATAGTACTGAATCAAAAGAAATGTTTACATCGGTGAGATGAATGCACCCATCACAAAGCCTTTCATCAGATAGCTTCTTTCTAGTTTTTATCTAAAAATATTTGATTTTTCACCTTTGGCCTCAATGAGCTCCCAAATGTCCCTTCACAGAATCTGAAAGACAGAATGAAAGATAAGTTTTACTCTGTGAGATGAATCCAAACATCACAAAGCAGTTTCACAGAGAGCTTCTTTCTAGTTTTTATCTGGGGATATTCACTTCTTTACCATAGGTCTCAATGAGCTCTCAAATGTCCCTCCACAGATCCTATAAAATCTGTGTTTTCAAACTGCTGAATGAAAAGAATGGTTTAACTCTTTGAAACGAATCCACACATCACAAAGCCATTTAACAGATAGCTTCTTTCTAATTTTTAACTGGGGATATTCCTTTATTTGCCACAGGCCTCAATTTGCTACCAAATGTTCTTTCACAGATTTTACCAAAACAGTTTTTCTAAACTGCTGAATCAAAAGAAAGGCTTAACTCTGAGGGGTGAATCCACATATCACAAAGCAGTTTCTCAGTTAGCTTCTTTCAAGTTTTTATCTGAAGATATTTGCTTTTTCACCATAGGCCTCAATGCACTCCCAAATGTCCTTTTACAGATTATACAAAAAACTGCATTTCCAAACTACAAAATCAAAAGAAAGGTTTAACTCTGTAGGATAAATGCACATATCACAAAGCCATCTCTCAGATAACTTCTTTCTAATTTTCACCTGGAAATATTCACTTTTCCACCAAGGGCCTCAATCCACTTCAACATGTCTTTTGCAGATTCTACCAAGACAGTTTTTCCAACCTGCTGAATCAAAAGAAATGTTTAACTCTGTGAGATGAATCCACAAATCACAAACAGTTTCAGAAAGAGGTACTTTCTAGTTTTTTATCTGGGAATATTAACTTCTTTACAATAGGCCTCTATGAGCTCCCAAATATCACCTTGCAGATTCTACAAGAAAAAGTGTTTCTGATCTGCTAGGTCAAAAAAAAAAGGTTTAATTCTGTGAGATGAATGTGCACATCATGAAGCAGTTTTTCAGATAGCTTCTATCATGCTTAATCTGAAGATATTTACTTTGTCCTTTTGAAGATTCTACAAAAACTCTGCTTTGAAACAGCTGAATCAAAAGATATGTTCAAACCTGTGAGGTGAATTCACATATCACAAAGCAGTTTCTTAGATAGCTTCTTTCTAGTTTTCATCTGGAAATATTCACTTTTTCACCATGGGCCTCAATCCACTTCAAAATGTCTTTTGCAGATTCTACAAAAACAGTTTTTCCAACCTGCTGAAACAAAAGAAATGTTTAACTCTGTGAGTTGAATCCACAAATCACAAAGCAGTTTCAGAGAGAGGTACTTTCTAGTTTTTTATCTGGGAATATTCACTTTTTTACAATAGACCTCTATGAGCTCCGAAATATCACCTCACAGATTCTATAAAAAAAGTGTTTCTGATCTGCAAGGTCAAAAAAATGTTTAATTTTGTAAGGTGAATGCACACATCACAAAGCAGTTTTTCAGATAGCTTCTTTCATGTTTTATCTGAAGATATTTGCTTCATCTTTCTGAAGCTTCTACAGAAACTCTGCTTCCAAACTATTGAATCAAAAGAAATGTTCAACTGTGAGATGAATCCACACATCACAAAGCAGTTTCACAAATAGCTTCTTTCTACTTTTCATCTGGGGATATTCGGTTTTTCACCATAGGACTCGATGCCCTCCTAAATGTTCTTTCTAGGGTTGTACAAAAACAGTGTTTACAAACTGCTGAATCAAAAGAAAGGTTTAACTCTGCGAGATGAATGCACACATCACAAAGCATTTTCTCAGATGGCTTCTTTCTAGTTTATATATGGAGATATTCACTTTTCACCATAGACGTCAGTGTGCTCCCAAATGTCCCTACAAATATCCTAGAAAAACAGTGTTCCCAAACTGCTGAATCAAAAGAAAGGTTTAAATCTGTGAGATGAATCTATGCATCACAATGCAGTTTCTCAGAGAGCTTCCTCCAGTTTTTAACTGAAGATATTTACTTTTTCACCATAGGCCTCCATGCGCTCCCAAATATCCTTTCTAGGATTGTAGAAAAATAATGTTTCCAAATTGCTGAATCAAAAGGAAGGTTTAACTCTGTGAGATGAAGGCACACATCACAAAGCAGTTTCAAAGATAGCTTCTTTCGAGTTTTTATATAAAAATATTCGCTTTTTCACTGTAGGCCTCAATGGGCTCCCATATGTCATTTCACAGATTCTACAAAAACAGTGTTTCCAAACTGCTGAGTCAAAAGAACTGTTTAACTCTGTGAGATGAATACACACATCACAAAGCAGTTTCAGAGAGAGATTCTTTCTAGTTTTTATCTGGGAATATTCAGTTTTTTACAGTCGGCCTCTGAGAGCTCCCAAATATCCGTTCATAGATTCTACAAAAAGATTTTCCAGTCTGCTGAGTCAAAAGGAAGGTTTAACTCTGTGAGATAAATACACACACACATCACAAAGGAGTTTCACAGTTAGCATTCTTTCCAGTTTTTAAATGGAATTATATGCTTTTTCACCACAGGTCTCAATGTTCTTCCAAATGTCGTTTCACAGATTCTACAAAAACAGTGTTTCCAAAGTGCTGAATCAAAAGAAAGGTTTAATTCTGTGACATGAATCCACACTTCACAAAACAGATTCTCATATAGTTTCTTTAGGTTTCCATTTGAAGGCATTTTCTTTTTCACCATAGGCCTCAATGAGCTCCCAAATGTACTTTTGCAGATTTAACAAAAACAGTGTTTCCAACCTGCTGAATCAAAAGAACATTTTAACTCTATGAGATGAATCCACACATCTATGAGAAGAATCCACACATCCATCTATGAGATGAATCCACACATAAAAATCCAATTTTTATCTGGGGGTAATTGGTTTCTCCCCATAGGCCTCAATAAGCTCCCAAATGCCCCTTTGCAGATTCTATTAAAAGAGTGTTTCCAACCTGCAAAATCAAAACAAAGGTTTAACTCTATGAGATGAATCCACACACAAGACAAAGCAGTATCACTGATAACTTCTTTTTAGGTTTTATCTGGGGATTTTTGTTTTTTCCCCATAGGCCTCAAAACCCAAACTGTCACTTTGCAAATTATACAAAAAATGTTCCAGCCAGCAGAATGAAAAGGAAGGCTTAACTCTGTGAGACAAATCCACACTACACAAAGCAGACTCACAGATACCTTTTTTCTAGTTTTTACCTGGGGATATTCTGTATTCCCCTTAGGCCTCAATGGGCTTCAAAATATCCCGTAGCAGATTCAACAAATAGAGTGTTTCCAATGTGCTGAATCAGTAGAGAAGTATAACTCTGTGTGATGAATCTACCCATCACAAAGCAGTTTCACAGATAGCGTCTTTCTAGTTTATATCTGGGGAAATTCTGTTCTTTCCCATCAGCCTCAATGGGCTCCCAAATGTTCCTTCACAGATTCTACAAAAAGAGTGTTTCAAACCTGCTGAATCGAACAAGAGGTGTAACTCCATGAGATGAATCCACATATCACAAAGCAGTTTCACAGATACCTTCTTTTAAGTTTTTATCTGGGGATGTTAGGTTTTACTACATAGACCTTAATGGGATCCCAAGTATCCCTACACAGTTTCTACAAAAAGAGGGTCAGGAGATTGAGACCATGGTGAAACCCTGTCTCTACTAAAAATACAAAAAATTAGCCAGGCATGGTGGTGGGTGCCTGTAGTCCCAGCTACTTGGAGAGGCTGAGGCAGGAGAATGGCGTGAACCCAGGAGGCGGAGCTTGCGGTGAGCCGAGATCACGCTACTGCACTCCAGCCTGGGTGACTGAGATTCTATCAAAAAAAAAAAGAGGGTCTTCAACCTGTTGAATCAAAGGAAACCTTTAACTCTGTGAGATGAATCTGCATATCACCAAGCAGTTTCACAGATAGTTTTATTCTAGCTTTTATTTAGGGAGATTCTGTTTTTCCACATAGGTCTCTATGTGCTCTGAAATATCCCCTCTCGGAATTTACAAAAGGAGTTTTTCCATCCTGCTGAATCAAATGAAACGTTTAACTCTGGAAAATGAATCCACAAATCACAAAGCAGTCTCACAGACACTTTATTTCAAGGTTTTATCTGTAGATATTTGTTTTTTCCCCATAGGCCTTAATGGGATTGCAAATGTCCCTTTGCAGATTCTACAAAAAGAGTATTTCCAAGCTGCCAAATCAAAAGAAAGGTTTAACTTTGTGAGACGAATCCACACATCACTAAGCAGTTTCACAGATAACTTCTTTCTAGTTTTTATTTGGGGATATTCAGTTTTTCCCCTTAGGCCTCAGGGGGATTACAAACGTCCCTTCACAGATTCTATAAAGAAAGTGTTTCCAAACTGCAGAATCAAAGAGATAAATCCACACATCACAAAGCAGTTTCACAGATAGCTTCTTTCTAGTTTTCATTTGTGGATATTTGGTTTTTCCTCGTTGAACTCAATGGGCTCCAAAATGTCCTTTTGCAAACTCTACAAAAAGACTGTTTCCAAAGTGCTGAATTAAAAAAAATGGTTTAACTCTGTGTGATGAAGCCAGACATCACAAAGTAGTTCCACAGACATCTTCTTTCCCGTATTTATCTGGGGATATTGGGTTTTTCCCTATAGGCCTCAATGGGTTCCCAAATGTCCCTTTGCAGATTCTCCAAAAAGAGTCTTCCCAACCTGCTGAATCAAAAGAGAGGTTTAACTCTATGAGATGAATCCATGCATCACAAAGCAGTTTCACAGACAGATCTATTCTCTCTAGTTTGTATTTGAGGATATTTGTTTTTTCACATAAGCCCCAAAGGTCTCTCAAACGTCCCTTCACAGATTCTACAAAAAGAGTATTTCCAAACAGCTGAATCAAAAGAAAGTTTTAACTCTGTGAGATGAATCCACACATCACAAAGAAGCTTCACCGGCATCTTCTTTCAAGGTTTTATCTGGGGATATTGGTTTTTTTTCCCATAGGTCTCAATGGGATCACAAATGTCACTTCTCAGATTTTACAAAGGAGTGTTTCCTTCTGTTGAATCAATAGAAAGGTTTAACTCTGTGAGATGAATCCACACATCATTAAGCAGTTTCAAACATAGCTTCTTTCTAGTTTAAATTTGGGGATATTCAGTTTTTCCCCATAGGACTCAGTGGGCTCCCAAATGCTTCTTTGCAGATTCTACAAAAAGGGTGTTTCCATCCTGCTGAATAAAAAGAAAGGTGTAACCCTGTGAGTTGAATCCACGTATCACAAAGCAGTTTCACAGATAGTTTTTTCTAGTTTTTATCTGGGGATATTTGGTTTTTCACCATAGGCCTCAAGGGGCTCCCAAATATCCCTTCAGAGAGTCCTCAAAAATAGTTGCTAACCTGTTGAATCAAAAGGAAGGTTTAACTCTGTTACATGAATCCACTCATAACCAAGAAGTTTCACAGACAGCTTCTTTCTAGTTTTTATCTGAGGATATTCAGTTTTTCCCCTTAGGTTTCAATGGATTAAAATGTCCCTTTGCAGATTCTACAAAAAGATTGTTTCCAACCTGCTGAATCAACAGAAAGTTTTAACTCTGCAAGATGAATCCACACATTACAAAGCATTTTCACAGATAGCTTCTTTCTAGTTTTTATCTGGGCATATTCAGTTTTTTTCCACAGACCTCAGTGGGCTGAAAAACATCCCTCACAGTTTCAACAAAAATAGTATTTCCAACCTGCTGAATCAAAATAAAGGTTTGCCTCTGTGAGTTGAATCCACGTATCACCAGGCAGTTTCACATAGCATTTTTTTTTTTTTACTTTTTATCTGAGGATATTCGTTTTCTTCCCTTAAGCATCAATGGGTTCCCAAAAGTCCCTTCACAGATTCAATAAGAGTGTTTCTAACCTGCTGAATCAAGACAAAGTTTTAACTCTGTTAGATGAATCCACACATCACCAAGCAGTTTCACAGATAGCTTCTATTTTTTATCTGGGGATATTCATTTTTTTACCCATAGGCCTTAATGGGGTACCAAATATTCTTTTGCATATTCTTCATAAAGAGTGTTTTCAAAATGCAGTATCAAAAGGAAGTTTTAACTCTATAAGGTGAATCCACATATCACCAAGCAGTTTCACAGATACATTTTTCCAATTTTTATCTGGGGATAATTAGTTTCTCTCCATAGGCCTCAATAAGCTCCCAAATGGCCCTTTGCAGATTCTATTAAAAGAGTGTTTCCAACCTGCTAAATCAAAACAAAGGTTTAACTCTGTGAGATGAATCCACACATCATCCAACAGTTTCACAGATAGCTTCTTTTTAATTTTTATTTTGGGATATTCAGTTATTCCCCATAGGCATCATTGTGCTCCCAAATGTCCCTTTGAAGATACTACAAAAACAGTGCTTACCACCTGCTGAATAAAAAGAAAGGCTTAACTATTGGGTTGAATCTATACATCACCAAGCAGTTTCACAGATAGCTCCTTTCTAGTTTTTATC